>NC_000014.9:79308682-79460197 GCF_000001405.40 Homo sapiens
CAGATGGAAGCTAGATGAAGAACAAAATCAAAAGTGTCTCTCTTGTCTTGCATGATAGAAACTAATATCACTAAGAACGCAATTGAGAGCAAATTATTAAGAATATGCACTGAATGTGTACAACAGCCAGTGTTTGTTCCTCATCAGCACAGGGAAGCATTCTTTTTTTTTTTTTTTTTTGTGAGTAATTTTATTTTATTTTATTTTATTTTTTTTTATTTTATTTATTTATTTATTTATTTATTTTTTAATTTTTTTTTTATTATACTCTAAGTTTTAGGGTACATGTGCACATTGTGCAGGTTAGTTACATATGTATACATGTGCCATGCTGGTGCGCTGCACCCACTAACGTGTCATCTAGCATTAGGTATATCTCCCAATGCTATCCCTCCCCCCTCCCCCGACCCCACCACAGTCCCCAGAGTGTGATATTCCCCTTCCTGTGTCCATGTGATCTCATTGTTCAATTCCCACCTATGAGTGAGAATATGCGGTGTTTGGTTTTTTGTTCTTGCGATAGTTTACTGAGAATGATGGTTTCCAATTTCATCCATGTCCCTACAAAGGACATGAACTCATCATTTTTTATGGCTGCATAGTATTCCATGGTGTATATGTGCCACATTTTCTTAATCCAGTCTATCATTGTTGGACATTTGGGTTGGTTCCAAGTCTTTGCTATTGTGAATAGTGCCGCAATAAACATACGTGTGCATGTGGCTTTATAGCAGCATGATTTATAGTCCTTTGGGTATATACCCAGTAATGGGATGGCTGGGTCAAATGGTATTTCTAGTTCTAGATCCCTGAGGAATCGCCACACTGACTTCCACAATGGTTGAACTAGTTTACAGTCCCACCAACAGTGTAAAAGTGTTCCTATTTCTCCACATCCTCTCCAGCACCTGTTGTTTCCTGACTTTTTAATGATTGCCATTCTAACTGGTGTGAGATGATATCTCATAGTGGTTTTGATTTGCATTTCTCTGATGGCCATTGATGATGAGCATTTCTTCATGTGTTTTTTGGCTGCATAAATGTCTTCTTTTGAGAAGTGTCTGTTCATGTCCTTCACCCACTTTTTGATGGGGTTGTTTGATTTTTTCTTGTAAATTTGTTTGAGTTCATTGTAGATTCTGGATATTAGCCCTTTGTCAGATGAGTAGGTTGTGAAAATTTTCTCCCATGTTGTAGGTTGCCTGTTCACTCTGATGGTAGTTTCTTTTGCTGTGCAGAAGCTCTTTAGTTTAATTAGATCCCATTTGTCAATTTTGGCTTTTGTTGCCATTGCTTTTGGTGTTTTGGACATGAAGTCCTTGCCCACGCCTATGTCCTGAATGGTAATGCCTAGGTTTTCTTCTAAGGTTTTTATGGTTTTAGGTCTAACGTTTAAATCTTTAATCCATCTTGAATTGATTTTTGTATAAGGTGTAAGGAAGGGATCCAGTTTCAGCTTTCTACATATGGCTAGCCAGTTTTCCCAGCACCATTTGTTAAATAGGGAATCCTTTCCCCATTGCTTGTTTTTCTCAGGTTTGTCAAAGATCAGATAGTTGTAGATATGTGGCATTATTTCTGAGGGCTCTGTTCTGTTCCATTGATCTATATCTCTGTTTTGGTATCAGTACCATGCTGTTTTGGTTACTGTAGCCTTGTAGTATAGTTTGAAGTCAGGTAGTGTGATGCCTCCAGCTTTGTTCTTTTGGCTTAGGATTGACTTGGCGATGCGGGCTCTTTTTTGGTTCCATATGAACTTTAAAGTAGTTTTTTCCAATTCTGTGAAGAAAGTCATTGGTAGCTTGATGGGGATGGCATTGAATCTGTAAATTACCTTGGGCAGTATGGCCATTTTCACGATATTGATTCTTCCTACCCATGAGCATGGAATGTTCTTCCATTTGTTTGTGTCCTCTTTTATTTCCTTGAGCAGTGGTTTGTAGTTCTCCTTGAAGAGGTCCTTCACATCCCTTGTAAGTTGGATTCCTAGGTATTTTATTCTCTTTGAAGCAATTGTGAATGGGAGTTCACTCATGATTTGGCTCTCTGTTTGTCTGTTATTGGTGTATAAGAATGCTTGTGATTTTTGTACATTGATTTTGTATCCTGAGACTTTGCTGAAGTTGCTTATCAGCTGAAGGAGATTTTGGGCTGAGACGATGGGGTTTTCTAGATAAACAATCATGTCGTCTGCAAACAGGGACAATTTGACTTCCTCTTTTCCTAATTGAATACCCTTTATTTCCTTCTCCTGCCTGATTGCCCTGGCCAGAACTTCCAACACTATGTTGAATAGGAGCGGTGACAGAGGGCATCCCTGTCTTGTACCAGTTTTCAAAGGGAATGCTTCCAGTTTTTGCCCATTCAGTATGATATTGGCTGTGGGTTTGTCATAGATAGCTCTTATTATTTTGAAATACGTCCCATCAATACCTAATTTATTGAGAGTTTTTAGCATGAAGGGTTGTTGAATTTTGTCAAAGGCTTTTTCTGCATCTATTGAGATAATCATGTGGTTTTTGTCTTTGGCTCTGTTTATATGCTGGATTACATTTATTGATTTGCGTATATTGAACCAGCCTTGCATCCCAGGGATGAAGCCCACTTGATCATGGTGGATAAGCTTTTTGATGTGCTGCTGGATTCGGTTTGCCAGTATTTTATTGAGGATTTTTGCATCAATGTTCATCAAGGATATTGGTCTAAAATTCTCTTTTTTGGTTGTGTCTCTGCCCGGCTTTGGTATCAGAATGATGCTGGCCTCATAAAATGAGTTAGGGAGGATTCCCTCTTTTTCTATTGATTGGAATAGTTTCAGAAGGAATGGTACCAGTTCCTCCTTGTACCTCTGGTAGAATTCGGCTGTGAATCCATCTGGTCCTGGACTCTTTTTGGTTGGTAAACTATTGATTATTGCCACAATTTCAGAGCCTGATATTGGTCTCTTCAGAAATTCAACTTCTTCCTGGTTTAGTCTTGGGAGAGTGTATGTGTCGAGGAATGTATCCATTTCTTCTAGATTTTCTAGTTTATTTGCGTAGAGGTGTTTGTAGTATTCTCTGATGGTAGTTTGTATTTCTGTGGGATCGGTGGTGATATCCCCTTTATCATTTTTTATTGTGTCTATTTGATTCTTCTCTCTTTTTTTCTTTATTAGTCTTGCTAGCGGTCTATCAATTTTGTTGATCCTTTCAAAAAACCAGCTCCTGGATTCATTGATTTTTTGAAGGGTTTTTTGTGTCTCTATTTCCTTCAGTTCTGCTCTGATTTTAGTTATTTCTTGCCTTCTGCTAGCTTTTGAATGTGTTTGCTCTTGCTTTTCTAGTTCTTTTAATTGTGATGTTAGGGTGTCAATTTTGGATCTTTCCTGCTTTCTCTTGTAGGCATTTAGTGCTATAAATTTCCCTCTACACACTGCTTTGAATGTGTCCCAGAGATTCTGGTATGTGGTGTCTTTGTTCTCGTTGGTTTCAAAGAACATCTTTATTTCTGCCTTCATTTCGTTATGTACCCAGTAGTCATTCAGGAGCAGGTTGTTCAGTTTCCATGTAGTTGAGCGGCTTTGAGTGAGATTCTTAATCCTGAGTTCTAGTTTGATTGCACTGTGGTCTGAGAGATAGTTTGTTATAATCTCTGTTCTTTTACATTTGCTGAGGAGAGCTTTACTTCCAACTATGTGGTCAATTTTGGAATAGGTGTGGTGTGGTGCTGAAAAAAATGTATATTCTGTTGATTTGGGGTGGTGAGTTCTGTAGATGTCTATTAGGTCTGCTTGGTGCAGAGCTGAGTTCAATTCCTGGGTATCCTTGTTGACTTTCTGTCTCGTTGATCTGTCTAATGTTGACAGTGGGGTGTTAAAGTCTCCCATTATTAATGTGTGGGAGTCTAAGTCTCTTTGTTGGTCACTCAGGACTTGCTTTATGAATCTGGGTGCTCCTGTATTGGGTGCATAAATATTTAGGATAGTTAGCTCCTCTTGTTGAATTGATCCCTTTACCATTATGTAATGGCCTTCTTTGTCTCTTTTGATCTTTGTTGGTTTAAAGTCTGTTTTATCAGAGACTAGGATTGCAACCCCTGCCTTTTTTTGTTTTCCATTGGCTTGGTAGATCTTCCTCCATCCTTTTATTTTGAGCCTATGTGTGTCTCTGCACGTGAGATGGGTTTCCTGAATACAGCACACTGATGGGTCTTGACTCTTTATCCAACTTGCCAGTCTGTGTCTTTTAATTGCAGAATTTAGTCCATTTATATTTAAAGTTAATATTGTTATGTGTGAATTTGATCCTGTCATTATGATGTTAGCTGGTGATTTTGCTCATTAGTTGATGCAGTTTCTTCCTAGTCTCGATGGTCTTTACATTTTGGCATGATTTTGCAGCGGCTGGTACCGGTTGTTCCTTTCCATGTTTAGTGCTTCCTTCAGGAGCTCTTTTAGGGCAGGCCTGGTGGTGACAAAATCTCTCAGCATTTGCTTGTCTATAAAGTATTTTATTTCTCCTTCACTTATGAAGCTTAGTTTGGCTGGATATGAAATTCTGGGTTGAAAATTCTTTTCTTTAAGAATGTTGAATATTGGCCCCCACTCTCTTCTGGCTTGTAGGGTTTCTGCCGAGAGATCCGCTGTTAGTCTGATGGGCTTTCCTTTGAGGGTAACCCGACCTTTCTCTCTGGCTGCCCTTAACATTTTTTCCTTCATTTCAACTTTGGTGAATCTGACAATTATGTGTCTTGGAGTTGCTCTTCTCGAGGAGTATCTTTGTGGCGTTCTCTGTATTTCCTGAATCTGAACGTTGGCCTGCCTTGCTAGATTGGGGAAGTTTTCCTGGATAATATCCTGCAGAGTGTTTTCCAACTTGGTTCCATTCTCCACATCACTTTCAGGTACACCAATCAGATGTAGATTTGGTCTTTTCACATAGTCCCATATTTCTTGGAGGCTTTGCTCATTTCTTTTTATTCTTTTTTCTCTAAACTTCCCTTCTCGCTTCATTTCATTCATTTCATCTTCCATTGCTGATACCCTTTCTTCCAGTTGATCGCATCGGCTCCTGAGGCTTCTGCATTCTTCACGTAGTTCTGGAGCCTTGGTTTTCAGCTCCATCAGCTCCTTTAAGCACTTCTCTGTATTGGTTATTCTAGTTATACATTCTTCTAAATTTTTTTCAAAGTTTTCAACTTCTTTGCCTTTGGTTTGAATGTCCTCCCGTAGCTCAGAGTAATTTGATCGTCTGAAGCCTTCTTCTCTCAGCTCGTCAAAATCATTCTCCATCCAGCTTTGTTCTGTTGCTGGTGAGGAACTGCGTTCCTTTGGAGGAGGAGAGGCGCTCTGCGTTTTAGAGTTTCCAGTTTTTCTGTTCTGTTTTTTCCCCATCTTTGCCAAGATGGCCGAATAGGAACAGCTCCGGTCTACAGCTCCCAGCGTGAGCGACGCAGAAGACGGGTGATTTCTGCATTTCCATCTGAGGTACCGGGTTCATCTCACTAGGGAGTGCCAGACAGTGGGCGCAGGCCAGTGTGTGCGCGCACCGTGCGCGAGCCGAAGCAGGGCGAGGCATTGCCTCACCTGGGAAGCGCAAGGGGTCAGGGAGTTCCCTTTCCGAGTCAAAGAAAGGGGTGACGGACGCACCTGGAAAATCGGGTCACTCCCACCCGAATATTGCGCTTTTCAGACCGGCTTAAGAAACGGCGCACCACGAGACTATATCCCACACCTGGCTCAGAGGGTCCTACGCCCACGGAATCTCGCTGATTGCTAGCACAGCAGTCTGAGATCAAACTGCAAGGCGGCAACGAGGCTGGGGGAGGGGCGCCCGCCATTGCCCAGGCTTGCTTAGGTAAACAAAGCAGCCGGGAAGCTCGAACTGGGTGGAGCCCACCACAGCTCAAGGAGGCCTGCCTGCCTCTGTAGGCTCCACCTCTGGGGGCAGGGCACAGACAAACAAAAAGACAGCAGTAACCTCTGCAGACTTAAGTGTCCCTGTCTGACAGCTTTGAAGAGAGCAGTGGTTCTCCCAGCACGCAGCTGGAGATCTGAGGACGGGCAGACTGCCTCCTCAAGTGGGTCCCTGACCCCTGACCCCCAAGCAGCCTAACTGGGAGGCACCCCCCAGCAGGGGTACACTGACACCTCACACGGCAGGGTATTCCAACAGACCTGCAGCTGAGGGTCCTGTCTGTTAGAAGGAAAACTAACAACCAGAAAGGACATCTACACTGAAAACCCATCTGTACATCACCATCATCAAAGACCAAAAGTAGCACAGGGAAGCATTCTAAGCTTTTGCCAGGACGCCTGCTTATTATATGCTATGGTCTGTCCAAATCTTCTGTGGCTGCCACTACAGCCTGATTTCCCTTGGAAACTTGGCAGCCCGTGAGTTACGATGGAATTCCCAGGTGATAATGTATCTAATTTCCCTCATTGTACTTCTTTTATCCTGTAATGTGCTGTTGATTCCCACGGCTGAGCTGTGATGGAGAATAGCCATTATTATTGTAATGGCATTATTCAGTCCATTAAGACTTAAAACATACCTGGTAAAAATAGTGAAAGCTTACAAGTCTTCATAGCAATCTCAAAGACTAATAACTTAGTTGTTAGTCTTTTCCTCAAGTAAACTTTGACAGGTGTTTGGGAATAATTCTTTCCTGGGCTGATAGTATTTGATTTGTACTATATATTGTTCTAAGTAAATGCAGGACCAATGCTCCATCCTATTCGAAAAAAGAAAAGGGGTCTCTGTAGAGAAACTATTAAAAAAGTTTAAACAGCCTTTACAGAAACGTGGTTTGGTGGCAAAGAAAGGGAAACCACCACCCCTTCCAAAGCTCACCAGGAGAAAAGTGAGAAATAAAATATCAAAATGAAATTGACTCCACACAAAGATATCTGATCACCAGACAAAACAAGTACCAAAGTGCAGAAAAATATTACAATAAATAACATCAGATTCTTTATTCAAGCCAGGCAAAACTTATGTAGTTTTTCCTAACCAGGTTAATTATTTTCCTCATCTTCTTTTCCTTTAATATAAAAAAGGGATATAAGAAAGCAAGCCTGAGTATATTCTTGGTTGCTCTGTTTCTTGTGTTAGCCTAGCCAGAACGAGCTACAATAGAAAGAAGTTATACTTTAGAAAACAATCTATTTAATATAATTCAATGCTACACAAAGCTTTATTTCTTAATATGGACAATTATTTGCTACTGGAAAGAAAGCAGAGCGAGATATGGCCCTTTGGGGAGATGGTTAAATAAGAAATACATTTCCAGATGATGTCACATGTAAATAGCACTCCGAAATCACTAGGCATCAAAATTAATCAGGCTGAATCCATTGCTTTGTAAGGTGTAAATCGCTAGCCTTACTTAACCTTACTTCAGTGCTGGGACTCCCGAATCGCGAGGAAGGTATGATTCTTATTTCTTCACACACACACAGACTGAGTGTTCTCAAGACAGGAACATGATTGAGAATGCTGGAAAAAACATTACATTAATCTACATTGTAAGAGTACCATGCAAACATTTGCTTGTTTCCAACACCTTGTAAATGTATCTCGTTGTTGACTCAAAATGAACATTTGGTGCAGATACTGAGAAAAAAGAATGTACTTAGAACAGGGATTTCATTACTTCTCTTATAGGTCTCAGCTGTGGAGATTGTTTAGCCAACAAGAAACCCAATCTCTGTTAGGTATCTTGTCTGAGATGATATTAAAAATATTCAACAACCAGTAGGAAATGGAACCAATGAAAATGACTCAGGTCCCCTGCTGAGACTGGCATTGACCTGTTAGTTGTTGAATTGTGGAAAGAGGGGAAAGGGACCGGATGATCGGTGGTAAGGGTATGTTTGAAGCAGTGACATTCATCATCTATTTATGCAAGTATTTTAACATTTTAATAATTGATACAGTTATCTGGGTGCATGCCAGTTGACAACTTGCCCTGCATATTGATAATTTTACCATGCAGACTCCACTCCTCAGGTAACTCTTGTTCTATTACACTGGACTTTATCATCATGTAATCTGTCCTGTCCCTCTCTCTCTCTCTCTCTCTCTCTCTCTCTCTCTATTGAATTCTGGGGGTGTAGTAGTCCATTGTTTAGAGGGAATTTAGAAGTTTTCCTATATTAGGAAGTGTATTCATTTCCTAGGAATGCCATAACAAAGAATTACAAACTGAGAGGCTTACAACAATACAAAGTTATCATATCATGGCTCTGGAGGTGAAAAGTCTGAAATAAAAGTGTTGGTGGGGCTGGACACGGTGGCTCACACCTGTAATCCCAGCACTTTGGGAGGCTGAGGCAGGCAGATCACTTGAGGTCAGGAGTTCGAGACCAGCCTGGCTGACGTGGTGAAACCCTGTCTTTACTAAAAGTACAAAAAATTAGCTGGGCGTGGTGGTGGGTGCCTGTAATCCCAGCTACTGAGGAGGCTGAGGCAGGATAATTGCTTGAACCCGGGAGGTGGAGGTTGCAGTGAGCTGAGATCGTGCCACTGCACTCCAGCCTGGGTGACAAGAGCGAGGCTACTTCTCAAAAAAGAAAAAAAAAGTGTTGGCGGGGCCAAGATCTCTCTGGAGGCTCTCAGGGAGGATCCTTCCTTGCCTCTTTCTAACCTCTTTTGATTTGCTGACAATCTTTGGCATTCTTTGGTTTGCAGCTGCAGCACTTTGATCACGGCCTTGTTGTCACATGGCATTCTCACCTTTAGTGCCTGTGTGTCTTCCCCTCTTCACATAAGGATGCAAGTCATATTGGATGACTTATCCTACTATCCTACTATGTCTATCCTACTCCAATATGACCTTATCTTAGCTGATTACATCTGTAGTGACCCTATTTCCAAATAAGGTCACACTCCGAGGTACTGGGGGGTTAGGATTTCATCATATCTTTTGGGAGAGACACAATTCAACTCAGGACAGGAAGGAAAAGCCCCGGCAACCGAATTGTATTGTTCTGCTAGATGATGACAAGTCATAATGTAGAGAAGTTGCTCCAAAGTGGGATACATACATTGGAGGGCAGCATAGAATGAAAGTTTTAGAACATCTATTTATATTTATTTTAATCGTATTCCTTTATATTTTTGTTATAGTCTGTTTCATAGCACATTTAGTGTATAAATATAATAATACATGTCTACGTGTTAAAAATGAATGAAAATACCTACATTGGGAGTGGGCTGAATCCACAGAAAGTTTTACTGATGGTGGTTCAGGGAATGTAAGCAAAAGGATTTCAAACCAATGTAAGAGCATGAAATATTAATGACATGTTTCAGATAAAAATCTCTGTGTAGGTTTTTCATAGCCCCAATTCAAGTTAGACTGGGCAAGAAATGAGATTATTTAGGCAAAAAAAGGGAGGAGCACTAAATTCATCCACAATTTTAAAAGTATCTTCTTTCAGGAGGCTTTTGGACAGTAACATTTCCAAAAAAATATAGTGTTTTATGCCACAGAGAATCAAGTTGCATTGTGTATACTAAATGGTCAAGCATTTTCAAGAACATGACAAAATAAAAACATACAAATTTATATCTCAAAAGGAAAGTATCTTCTTTCATGTCAGATCATCAGCACAGAAGCCCTCGATGCATGCAAAGGCAAGCACAGGCTCTGCAGATGAGATGTGAAGAAGCAATTAGGGAAGGAAGGAAGGGACAGTTTGGATGCTGGGTCCTGACCCAGAAACAACACGGAGTAGATCTCGGATTTGCTTTTTCTTAGGTCCAATGCTAGGACGATTACTTTATCTGTGGTGAGGAATGTTATAAAAAACCATTGTTGGAATGCCACCAAAATACTTCTTTCCCTTTTAGCATCATCACCAAGATTCTAGAACGAAGTAATAACAGTTGCCAACCTTGAGCCATTCTCCAGCTGTTGTCATGTTTCAGTCAGACAGGAAGTGTTGGCGAGTAATATGGGATTTATTGGGAGTGTTCCTTTACGTGAGTCCAGGAAATAAGAACTAGAGATGAGCTTGGGTGCCTCTGCTTCTTTTATTTCTATGGAACATTCTTTGGGGTCAGTTTTGAATAATCACTGGGCATTATCGGATTTCTATCACTATTTTTTGCATGTTCTTGTGATTATTCAC
The DNA here is from genome assembly GCF_000001405.40 of Homo sapiens. Taxonomy (NCBI): domain Eukaryota; kingdom Metazoa; phylum Chordata; class Mammalia; order Primates; family Hominidae; genus Homo; species Homo sapiens. The sequence continues at coordinate 79,318,803 of NC_000014.9, forward strand.
CAGGGAACATTTTATAATACTCATATTAAATTTTTATTTCTTAATTTCTTGCCTCATTACTCCCATTTGCATTGGCTGCAGACTCTCTAAGTATTACTTTCCCTTCCTTGTGGTTCATACCCTAATCATTGAATATTGATGTTCTATTTATTTCTATGCACTCACTTTGTTTTTGACCAAGTTATATAGTTATTTGGTTTTCAGGTAATGCTTTCTTACAGTTACTCAAGAATGTATGCTAGAAAATGTTGCCCATAACTGCTTAAACATAAAAGAGGATATGTTTTCTTGTTTTCCATCTATGTTACAGTCTGTTTCTGAAATATCCTTTATTATGAGTAGAATAAAATCTACTGGACTTGGAATCCACATTCCCTTTTAAATTAAAAGTATTCCCAGACTTTCAAATTTTACATTCCTTAGCATGATCTCTTCTCTATAAAGACAGAAGAGGGGACAGAAAATTCTGACTGATCATTTCTTGAGCTAGAAGCAGCTATAATATTCCTGTTCTCCATCCTTTATAATTACTTTCTCATAAATACTAAACTACACCCCCCTGAGCATCTAGAAGATTTAAACACTGATCAAAGGCAGGTTTAGCTGTATCCTCAGGACAAGCTGATTCAATGAAGAAAAGCTCAGGCTCTTGGAGAGCTTTTAGAAAGAGAAATAAATTAACAATTAGCATTTAACAGCAGTAAAAACTGCTTAGCGGAAGCAGACTTGATGTTTTAGGGGATTTGAGATATTCGGAGTGATGAGATGAATAGGAAAAACTGTGTTCCAATTAGGAAGACAGAGTGAAAAGGTGTGAGATGTGGTCTTCTAGTTCATTCCACTGGTGATATAGAGCCTTTCCTGGACAGATTTTTATCTTTTTTGAGTAATTATTATCCACGTTATAATTTCATGCCTGTTGCTTTTAGGTAAGCTCAGAATTATAGTCATGGCTTGAGTAAAGATCTCATTGCAGTTGAGTACTAGCAGTACCACTACTCTTGCATGAGTTGCATTCTCTCTTGACCAGCTCTGTTAATGGGTGTCCTTATGTATGAAACTGATTTTCTTACTAATGGCAGGATTCTGTCTGGTTAGGATATTCCCTGAAATGCCCAAGGGTGTATTTTGCTTAAAAGCAAGGCTGGCCAGAGAGGTTTGGTTTATGTATTTATTTTTAAATTTCTTTTGTACCTAGGATAATAAATATATTCCTCTAGTCTTGGATAATAATATAAAATTACAGCCATACTGACAAAATTAAAGAAGACATTAACAAAAAATTCAGATTAAAATATAAAGTTCATGTCTTTGGCAAGTACACACAGGATTGTGGTTTTGCCCAAGGTGTCTAATTAATTACTATAATTTTTCAATTCCCTGTGTTCAATAAAAACACGTCTATGAAATGCTATTCATAAAAGCAGAACTCACTGGTCATTAAACATGCAAATATCCACGAATAAATACACAATTCTCTCTTGCAGGAAATGCTATCAGTAGACTAAATAAGTGGTGGACATTTTTCTACAGTAAGTATTTACTTTTCCTACAGTTTGATCTTAAAATACCACAGTTGGCCAGGGCCTCATGTGTTGCTGGTGCAATCTCCGCATTGTTAATGGGTATATGAAGCTCATGATGATGTCCACAAGATGATACCGCTATTGGAAAACTTCCTCATTCTTCCTGTCTAACCAGTAGCATAATGGATATGTGAATAGTGCCTGTTTTGTACATTTTCCCTCAGGTAAACTGTGATAGGCCTTTGGGAATAATTCTTTTCAAGGCCTGAAGCATTTAAAGTGCACTGTATATTGTTCTAAATGCAAGACCAATGCCCCATTCTATCAGAGAAAAGAAAAAGGGTATCTGTGGGAAACTATTTAAAAGATTAAAGGAGCTTTGACTGAAATGTGGTTTGGTGGCAAAGAAAGGGAAACCACCATCCCTTGGTACAGTATTAAGGCTATATCTGGGAAAACCAACAAAACGTGTCATATGTGGATAGATCATGACACTGACACCATTAGCAAGGACTTTTTTTTTTTTTTTAACAGCATTTCTTGTGCTAGTTTCCCAGTGCCAAGAATGGCTTCTTTATTTATTCTTGAACTCCAATACCTATCACAGTACTTGGTCCTTACTTGGTACTCAATAAATGTTTGTTGAATGAATCTATTTTTTATACTTTTGTATCAAACTATCACATCTGAGCGATTTTGTAATTTTATTCAGCTGATGATATTCTTTATACCAGTGCAATTTTCCATATGCTCATGTGTGTTTTATTTCTCATGATATCAGTTTTTCTTTCTTTGAACTTTGTAGTTCCCTGAATTGCTTAGTATTGTTTATATATGACTAAAGGCCCAGGTGGATAAGATGGTATCTTTCTTTGTTTATTGTTTATATATGACTAAAGGTCCAGTGAAAGGTAAAAAATGAGTTTGTTAGATTTCAAAATCAGTCAAAAGGTAAAATCAGTGTGAAGATAAGATACCATCTTATCTAACTGGACCTTTAGTCCAGTGAAAGGTGAAAAATGAGTTTGTTAGATTTCAAAATCAGTCCTAACTAAAAACCATTTCCCCTACTGGATGTTGTAACTCACATCATTACAATTTATGGCTTAATGAAACATTTATTTTTCTGAACAACTTGGATTTCAGTGAGCAGATTTCTTAAAATAAGGACATTCTATTTTTCATTATAGTACTAAGAATGCTGGAACAAATATTTTTTCTACTTACATACTTGAGTTCAGTTGAATTATTTTATCAGGTATTTGCAAGATGACCTGGAATATCTTGGAAGTTATTATATGTAAATTATACATACACATATATGTGTATAGTTCCTGGCATTGGGCAACTAGTATAAGGAATGCTGCAAAAAAAATCCTTGCTAATGGTTTCAGCATCATGATATATATATACATATATATGCATATGTGTAATTACACATATCTATATGTATAAATAACTATATTAATATACTTATATAAGCTACTACATATTAATAAATGATCAACATACCTATATTATTTATATATAAACTATATATAAATATAACTATATATATACACACACACACATATATATATGTAGTTGTAGAAAGGGTCTTTTTTAGTGAATTAAGACTTCATGAAAGGCCAGTTATAGTGGCTCATCATGCCTGTAATCCCAGCATTCTGGGAGGCTAGAGGATCACTTGAGCCTAGTAGTTCAAGATCAGCCTGGGCAACACAGCAAGATCCCATCTTAAAATAAAAAAGATCTCATGGTAACTAATATTTGATATGTATGATATATGACTTTAAGCAATATTACGTGACATCACCTTTCTCACATTCTAGGTTGCTGTTTACATTTTTTGTTCAGTAATGAAACAAACTCACGAGGAAGTAAACCAATCAACATTTTATGCATGGAGTTTTCTAAATCCTTCATGTGGCTTTGGTAGCATTTTGATTAGAAGCCCTTGAATTCTGTCCTGAGTGCTTACCCATTATCTAGTGATTTACAGAGTTTACAGGAGGACACCGAAATCACAGGCTTGACCGCATTTACGGATGGCACAGATACCAGATCCAAAAAGTTTTTAATGATCTGGAACCATGAAGTGAAATAAACAAGGAGCCCAGATTTCTTGAAGACCTCCTCTATGCCAGGCATTTTATGTCTCTCAATTCTTTGAGAGAACCTATGGCATGAAGTTATTAATTTTTTTCTAGATGGCAAAACTGAAAATAAAGTATATTCAATTAATTTCTCAAGGTCATGGGATTGAAAATACTGTGACTGAAAAAAATATTTTAAGTCTTCCTGATCCTAGAGTCTATCTTCTTACATTAAAATAAACATATTAAATAAATAAGCACAATCAGTTTAGGAAAGATTTGTTTTGATAGAAATCCATGCAAAGCAGGTCAGGGAATTTCAGTTGACCACAGATTCAATGGGGAACATCAGCTAATGAGAGAAATGTACAGTGCAAATTATTTCATTGTACTTAGTGCTAGTCAGGCTTAATAAAGGGTATGATACTTTGGCACCTCATTGCTTTCACAAACAAGAAGGCATTCTGAGTAAGAAAACATGAAGACAAAGATCCTAAACCTTTATCTTGTGGATGACAGCTAAGAATGCTCAGGTAAGAAATGACTGTAGTGACGGCAGGGGATGGATGAGGGCTATAACATCTGTTGCAATACATACACTGAATGGTGACTTTTTCTTTTTTAAATTGACACGGGGTCTAGCTCTGTTGCCCTGCCAGAGGGCAGTGGCGCAATCATAGCTCACTGCAGCCTTGAACTCCTGGGCTCAGGTGACCCTCCTGCCTCAGCCTCCCAAGTAGCTTGGACTGCAGGTGCATGCAACCATGCCCCACTAATTTTTTTATATATTTATTTTTAGTAGCAACAAGCTCTCACTATGTTGCCCAGGATGGTCTTGAACTTCTGGGCTCAAGTAATCCTCTTGTCTTAGTCTTCCAAAGTGCTGGCATTACAGGCATGAGCCACCATGCCTGCCCTAATGGTGTTTTTAAAGGAGGAATTAGCTGTGGTCAGTACAGATTTATTTGGAAGAAATGGAATCTGTGCTTAGAAGCCAAAAGGCCCATTATTATTCAATAAAAGGAAGCTCTTTAGAACACTTTGAACCTGAAAGAGTTAATGAAGCATGAGACATTAGGGTTCCCATATTTAGTTTAGATCTATGTGGCACTATTTTTAGAAGGTTACATTGTTTTTAATATTTTATATAGTAGGCCGGGCGTGGTGGCTCACGCCTGTAATCCCAGCACTTTGGGAGGCCGAGGCAGGCAGATCACAAGGCCAAGAGATCGAGACCATCCTGGCCAATGTGGTGAAACCCCATCTCTACTAAAAAATACAAAACGTAGCCGGGCGTGGCGGTGTGCGCCTGTAATCCCAGCTACTTGGGAGGCTGAGGCAGGAGAATCACTTGAACCAGGAGGCAGAGGTTGCAGTGAGCCTAGATTGCGCCACTGCACTACAGCCTGGGCAACAGAGTGAGACTTCATCTCAAAAAAAAAAAATTATATAGTATAATTCTAATAATGGGATGCTCCACTTCACTTGCAAGTACTTGCATATGGAGGTGTTTTTTTCCCCAGTATGAGGAGAGATCAACAGTAAATACCTATATTATTTCTATTGCTGGTCAATGCAGAAAATATTTGTTAAGCACGAAGAGTGTGGATGTGTTTGATGACTACAGAACTAAGGATTTCTCAAAGAAACAAAGAGAGAAGTCTAAGTTCAGGTGTGGAAGCCCTTGCCTAATTTGCTTCTTCACTTTTGCCCAGAAATAATTTGGCCAGGGATTGTGTTACTATTGTTGAATTAAACCAGACAGAATCAGGCCTATAAGAAGAGCCGTTTAGTAAAGGAAATGATTCTGTGAAAATTTTAGATTTGATAACTGACATGGGAGGTGTTTACCTTCTTTTGAAAAGCAGATTTAAAAAATTGAATTAAATATACACACAGACTTTTACACTCATTTTCAGGGAAGCAAGAACTCTATCATAATAATCACCAAATATCAATTAATCAGAAGGAAAAATAGGCTTGCAGGAAGAGAAAATCAGTTCCTTTAGACAAATGGTATTGACATAGAGATTCCAGGTATGTTTAGTTATATACCATGCATTCTGGATCAAATAGAGAGGCTTGTGACTTGTATCAGTATTACCTGGCTTCACAGCAGCAGGAGCAGAGAAAATATGCACTATGTTTAGAGATGAATTAGGAGAGTATGTCTGAAAGAACCAGGGATGCGTGGGCAGGTAGATTTGGTCAGGCATATTTATAATAATGAGCCATTGGATTTGGGATTGGGTGGAGGGAATAAAGTCAGAAAACCATTGGGTCATCTTCCCTAATAAAAGAGAACGTCTGTGGAGTTATAAATAGAATTGCCTAATATTTCATCTAATAGCTTTATTCAATCATTAGAACCTAAGCTTTCTTGTATCAATGTAAAGTATGTGTGTGTATATATGTATATATATTCATATGTGTGTGTATTATATGCATATGTGCATATACATGTGTGTAATGAAAAAAGAAAACAGCCCTGAAGAATCCTCAAGAAACTGTCAGACGTCCTTGTCCTTTAAAAGCTCCAGTTGCCCTTCTTGTCTAAACACATCAGTGCAGTGTGAATCCTGCATTATTCATGAACACATAAGGTCTGTATTTGTATACATTTATCTCTTGGCTATTTATTTCTATAATCTCTGCCCCAAACCCTCGCCATGCTTTGTCTTTCTCTTTTCCTACTTTTCTTTTTTTTCTGGTAGTTTGAAAAATAAACATTAGAAATAGCTATTTTATTGCTTACTTCTTTCCTTTAACATATGGCATTTGCTTAACCTCTTGGAGAGTTGTGGTTTTCTGACCCTGGAGTTCTGATGGGAAAGATAATGAGAAGTGTTTACTTAGCATCTAGGCCAGCAAGCTAAGAAAAACATTGTGCCATGCTAGTATTGACAAGGTGACAGAGAGCCCACACTTGCCTCACATGTTGGCCACTCCCGATGCTACATCCCACTTTACTCTTGCTGGAGGACTGACATTAATGCTTACTGTTTTGAGGTCTGGACATAATCCTGGTAGATTCTAAAACTCCTAGCAAACAGTGGTAGACAAGTCAAGGGTCTATAATTGCGTATAAACAGAAAAGTAAAGACTTACATATTTAAGCAACCTGCTAATCCCCATGGTCATTTAGTTCCCTAGTGGCTATTTTTAATTTGTCTTGTTTTTAGAGGCACTCTGAAAGCATGAGGCAGGTGAAAGCGTGTCTGTGTGTTGCTTGCATGCACATGCTTTTTCAAGAAGGTCTTCTTCTTTTCTTGTCAAGACTGCAGCTGTCAACTGTTCCCCAAAGGTGTTGCCTAGAATCAGCATGCAGCGCTGTAGGCAACCTGTCACTTAGATGAGACACCTTGTATATATGCTGTAGTTCACTCTCTGACTTGCCTGTGTGCACAATGCCATCTTGTCTGTTAGAAGACAGGGCCATCGTGAGATGCAGTTTCTCTTTGAGATATATAGTAGCTCTTCTTTCTTCAAAAGGAAAAAATAAAAAATAAAAAAAAGCTACTCTTGCTGGAAAGGTAGAGAGAAGGGTCTGCGGGTGCCCTCTACCATTGTGGTTTCAATGTCTAAATCTTCTGGAGAGGATTGCTGCAGTGATGAGATAAAAGCAGCTGCCTTTCCAAGTACTGTCTATTTGCATTGATATTTACATTCTTTGCCAAAGTGACATCATTAACATTTGCTTAGTATTTGTGCCACAGGGATATGTTTTACATAATTTAAGACTTGGAAGTGATGATAATGTATTTCAGATGGGCAGTAGAGGCCACAGAGTGCTGAATTTCATCCCCTTTCTTCTTAAGGACCTTAGTGCATAAATAAGTCCCTAGTCCGTATCCCTAAATCATATTAACAATACTGCTTACTGGGTGCCAACAATATGTCTGGTACTGGACTAGATATATGTGTATATATTGTTTAGCCCCCATGACAACAGTATGAGGGTAGGTACCATTATCTCCATTATATAGTAAAGAAGCAAGGCTAGAAAAATTGGTGACTTGCACAGGTCTGAATTCAGAGACATCTCACCGCAAGGACTTTTCTCCTTATGCTGTGTCATTCTATCTCCCATCTTGTAGCCTACTTGTTTCTTCAGATTTAAGAAACAGAAACCCTATATTTTCTCAGGACATGACACTTGAAATAACAAGAAAGAATATTGTGGGACTCTGACCTTGGTCCGTTTCTGTCTCTTTCATTCTCATCTTTACTCTAGGTGCCCAGAAACTCTTCTTTGAAATAAATATAAAAGATCTGTGTTTGCTTTGAGAGAAAGCCACATAACATTGTCACAAGCCAGATTATTGAACTCTGCCAGATGGCCCTTATTTACCAAATATATGTTTTAGTTTTATATACGAACAGAGGTTTTAAAAAGATAAAGACGAACAAAATTGTGTTTAATGTCCTGTATGATACCTTTTGCCTTATTTACAAACTGGTCCTCTCTCTGACTGTACCTGCTCCTGATGCCCCATCCTCAATGTCCTCCATCAGCATAAAAAATGTGAAACCTCTTTTTCAAAAACAAATTTAAAAAAAAGTGCTCAGTCTCTCATCTTGAGATGGAGAATTAGAAGCAAATTTGCCCTTGCTTTTCTTCTTAATCTTCCTTCTTCCCACCTTCTTTCCCTCGCTCCCTTCTTTCTTCTTTCTTTCACACCATGTGCCCCAGAATGACAGCTCAGGGAAAGTAGGCATTATAAGCTGAGTAGCCTTTTCCTTGATGTCCCTTGAAGGGCTCCTTATGTTCAGAGAATATATCACTGCATTTGCAGCTCCCCCAGAAATGCCGTAGCTTGGAGGAGCCTATTACTCACTTGAATCTCTTTGGTGTAGACCTATAAATAGATTCTCGTCTTTTCCTTGTAACCCCCTATAGATTCTTGATTCAAGGGTCAAAAATGGAGAGATGAGAGTTCAATCTTCTTGGAACTTACTGACACCCTAGCTCCCTTTTAAGAACTTGTCCTCCTTACTAACACCATCTACATGGCCATCTGGGTCTTCTCAGCTCAGAAACACCCTGCAACAATGGCTGGCGGAAATAAGGGGAGGGCCCATTTGAATTAGCACATTCCCCCACAAGCACACACATCCATACTGCCAGGCCTCTGTTTGTCCAGTTTCCTCCTCTTGTGCTGTTCTTCCCACCCTTCTCCTCAGTGCAGTTCAGATATCATCTGTGTCCCATGAAGTCTACTCTCTCCCAGGGGAAACCCTTTGAATTTCCATTGCATATTATTCTGTGCTTCTTTTTATGATTAATCCCATTTACCTTGTATTATATAAATATATTTTGGTCCTTATTAGATTATATATACTTGGAGGAGGACAGTATCTTTCTTTGGTCCATTGGTGTGGCTACCACAGGCTCACAGCATGGCATTTGGTTGCCTAAAATGATATGTCTTATCCGTTCTTTGATGTACAGATAAGAAAAGCCTTTATTTAGTTTGGCTTTCATTTTGTTCAAGAACAGTGGCACAGTTTGGTTTTTCTTGATATCTTTCCCTTATTCATGGTTGCTTTTCTCAAACAGCACATGTGGGGCTTAATACCTAGATGATGGGTTGATAGGTGCAGCAAACCAGGTGGTACAGGGTCCTGTGTGACTCTACCATGGTGCACATTTACCTGTGTAACAAACCTGCACATCCTGCACATGTATCCTGAAACTTAAAATTTAACAGAAAAGGAAAAAGAAAAAGAAATTATTATAAATGTAAAGTAATTAAAAGTATATTATTTAGGAGGGACAGTAGATATCACAAAGGTAAGCATGTTTCATTCTCAAATGAAATACACAAATTTATAAAAGTGAATTCAGCACCAGTGGTGAATATAAAAGGCTGTTAAGGAGGAGGAGCTAAAGTTTTGATTGGAACTTGAAGAAAAGGTATGTTGTTATAGGCAGAAAACTTGCCATGCAGGTGATCATGTTAGAATCAGTGTCAGACATTAACAAAACATTTTCAGTCAAGGGCAGAGAGTAAATATTTTAGGCTTTTTGGAGGCTGATTACATAATTTGCACAATGAAATAGTGGGTCCCTTTTTCAAAAAGCAATAACGAAGTGCCATGAGAAGTACTTAAAACATAAAGCTCTTTTTCCTTTTTCCATGGTTTCTCTCTCTAAACTTGTCATGTTGTTTTATATTTGCTCTTCAGTGTCATTCTAAGGAAAGAAAATGTTAAATTATTAGCATGAATTTTGCCATTCATCTTTATATTATGCCATGCCAGTCTTAAATAAGTTCTGAATAAGAACTTCTAATTCATTTGCAGAATTACTGACATAGGAAACATTTCTTATTTCATAGCTCATGCAGTGCATATATGTTTTGTTCTTACCAGAAAACTGGACACACTGCACAGATTAACTCACCTGTTTTTATTTATTTCACTTCTTGATATACACATATTCAACAAACACTCTCTTCCTTTGGCTTCCTAATGAGTAAGAAAAGACTGAAAAGAAAAGAAACTGAGTTGCTTTTTCTTTTCTTTTCCTTCTTTGACATAATTTTCAGCTGAGGTGGTTGGTCAATTCATGGAAGTAACATGAGTAAGAAAGGCTATAATTAGGTTCCTTAGTCATTTATGTTTCTTAGAATGCCATCGTTTTCTTTCTGTGTTCAAAGCAAGTTTTGGTTCCAATGGAAAACATGTTCTTTAAGGACTGTCAGCATCCCAGCTTACTCAGAGTAGATGTGAGAGACTTTGCAATCGCTTTGAGTCTCATTGAGTGTGCATCCTAAGTCTACCAGAATCTTCTACTCCCGGGGTATTGTGAGAGCTATAGGGGGTGAAGTGGCAAGAAACAATGGGCATGTGTATAGTATATCCATATGTTTATGCATCTCTCTTTTGCTACTGCACATGCCTAATTGTTTCATTAGACTTCATTCAAAAACACAAATTCAAAGATAAAATTATTAAGTGTTTCAAGACGGAGAGACAGGAGAATATTAAACCAAGAGCAGGTGGTACAGGGTCCTGTGTGACTCTACTGGCTGCATACCCATGAAGCTTCACCTGGGTTTTGCAAGCCATATGGTCTCTGTCTCAAGTATTTAGCTGTTGTACCATGAAGTGCGGCTATAAATGATATGTAAACAAATGGACGTGACTGTGTTCCAGTAAAACTTTATTTACAAAAAACAGGTAGCAGCCAGAATCTGGTCTGTGGGCCATTGTTTGTTGATCCCTAGTTAGGCAAAAACATGGAGATGAGAATATGTGAGCCTTGTTTGAGAATTGCTTAGCTAGTGTGAGGTAAGTCAGGGAATTTCAGAAGAAAGCCAATTATGAAAGCATGGATTGGACTGTTTGAATATTTTCCTCTAGTTGATAAAGTGACTGATGGCTTTAGCTACTGAATTAACGTGATCAAAAGAGTTTTTTTTTTTTTTTGGAGATGGAGTCTTGCTCTGTCACCAAGCTGGAGTGCAGTGGCATGATCTTGGCTCACTGCAACCTCTGCATCCTGGGTTCAAGCAATTCTCCTGCCTCAGCTTTCCGAGTAGTGGGAACACACCACTACTTCCAGCTAATTTTTGTATTTTTAGTAGAGATGGGGTTTCATCATGTTGGCCAGGATGATCTTGATCTCTTGACCTCATGATCTGCCCGCCTCGGCCTCCCAAAGTGCTGGGATTACAGGTGTGAGCCACCGTGCCTCGCCCATCAAAAGAGATTTTTAGTGAATTAATATGGAAGTGTCCTATCACAGAGATAGGAAGGGGTGGATCTGTTAATAGACAGATGAACAAGGGAGCTATTGTGAGAGTCCAGGTATGAGATGATAACAACTTGGAGTATTAAGAAGGGATTTGCAATGATGGAAATATTTGATTCCAGAGGAATTTTAAGTGAAGTGTCACCAGGATGTGGAGAGTGATTTGATGTTGGGGCTGAGAGAAGAAAAGATGGGAAATTTCAAGGTCTTGTGCCCGGAAGGCTGCAAAATGGATAGCCATTCATTCCCTGAACCTGTATTGTGTGTATCTTCTGTTTGCTAAAATAACCATGAACAGAAATGGCTGGTGGGCTGCTGATTTTAGGTGGCTGCAGAATTTTGGTCTATTTGAGTTGATGTTGGGTTGCCTAATACACATGATGCTTACAAGGCATTCAAGATGTGTCACTGGCATAGAGGAGTGGAGTGAGGGATAGAAGTAAAGGTAGGTAGCCCATCTTCACAGAAAGGTGAATTAGACCAGCGACAGCAGATACCATCTCCCAATGGAGAAAGCATAGAGAAGAGAAAGAAAAAGAAAGAGGCTCTAATACCCTAATCACTTACATACCCTAGTGTAGTCCTCTATGCTTTTCAAATTAAGTAGATATTTCACTTTCCTGTTTAACCTTGCCTGGAAAGATTGAGAGGTCCATGTCTAGTCACAATGTTAGAATGAAATAAATGTGTGAAATAAATCATGTTTATAGTGTAGATCCCCTTCATCTTCATCTTTGAGTCAAATGCCAAAGCCATTTGTTGGCTCAGTAACGTTTCACTTAGAAAATGAAACTTTTATTTTGGCTAAACGAGTATGGTGTCCTGGTCCTTTCCCAAAAACATACCTTCAATTTTACCCTAGCTGGCTGATTGACTGTTTCCTTTACAGATGCAGTCTAGGGATGCTAAGGGCAACATCCTTTGTGATAATGAAAGCCTTATAATGTATTTTTTCCAGTAACTTAGGATGCTGTATATTAAGCTGTATATTGGTAAATATTTTGTCTATGTGGAGAAATGTAAATGAGATTTTTTTTTCTTTTCATCATTCTTCTCTACAAATGTGCATTGAAAAGACACTGAACTTTGGTCCCATGCTTATGCACAAGGTATAAAAGTTGCTTATATTCCTAACCTCTCCACAGAGTTGTCTAGATTCACAGGACTATTTGGTCAAATGTTCTGCAATTCAGTTCCACTGCTTGACTGTAATTCACCTATAAACCCAGAAAAATACTGCTGGAGTTCAGAGGCCCTGACTGTTATTAGACAGAGAAAACCTATAGCACACTGGAACAATCACATTTAAAAGATTTGCCTCAAGCTTTCTATGGTCACTATTACTCTTTAATTTATGCTTTTAGGTTTCAACTTTGAAATGATATTGAAATTTTCATTATGGGCAACCCTGAATCTGGAAAAATCCAAGGCAGCTTTTAGGACAGTCACCTTTAATTACCCACCACCGTTAAGATTAGGAAGTAAATGCTGAAATTCCCATGTAAGTGTATTTTGCAAGAAATTTTCACACTATGAAATAATTGGTCTTTATCTCTCATCCTGTCTGATTCTCTATCAAGACATATCAAACATGCACCCCTCTGCTCAAAGTGTAAAAAAAAAGTTTGCTTTTTAAAGTTTTAATTAAGGCTTTTGCTGTGTGTGTGTGTGTGTGTGTGTGTGTGTGTGAAAGTACTACACACTTTAGTTGTTTAGGTGTCATTGTTGAGACATTTAGACTGTATTTCATTCAGGCAGATACTTTTACTTTATTACATTCCCAAATGAGGAAATGTGCTGATTAGATGGAAAAGCATGTGTGTATCTTATAGTGTTAGCAATTTGGCACGGTTTTTGTTTTGTTAGCTCTCAGCATGGTTGCCTTCAACTATATTTACACCACATGGGTGGGCATGTGTTAAAGATACAAAAATCCTCAGACCTCTGAATTGCATTCCTGAAGGAGACCTTAATTCTATTAGGTTGGTGCAAATTAAAATGCCGTTACTTGTAATGGCAAAAACCGCAATGATTTTCGCACCAACCTTATACTGCTTATTGCTTTTGCCTCTTCTGTAATGAAAGGCTTCTAACTGGTTTGCCTGCCTTTGATTTTAGCTTTTTGTGTAGCCTTGGTCATATCAAGTTTCTGCTGAAAAATTTGGCATGGCCTTTGATTTCCCAGTCTCATCTCCTACAACTCACCAGTATGCACCGGTAGTTCCAGTCCGCAATACGTCCTGCGCTGTCGAGCTTACGCACCTTTCTGTGTGCTGTTTCCTCTGCTAAGAATGTCTAGTGAACTTCTACTCACCGTTTAAGACCAGATTTAAATGGCATCTTCCTTACAAATAAGTTGATTGATCTATCATTTTATTGATTCTGTCATTCAGAAACATTCCTTCAATGCATGCTATGTTCTGGGAAACTTTCTCTAAACGGACTCAAACATTTCTTCTTCTGGGTTTTCCCAGCGCTGGATACTCTGAGTCATTACTAATCCACACTGGGTTCTTGTTTTCTAGGCTGCATCCCTCAATAGACTGTGAGGTCTTTGTGAGAATACAATTGCTTTTGTGTTTAGTTCCATATTCACAGCGTTCATTCTAGTGTCTGGAACATAGGGTTCCACTACATGCACTACACATTTGTTGACTAGAAAAATGATTCGTTTTATCAAGGGACTGTCTTAGGAAATACTAAGTGGGGTGCCTTTCTGATACATTGTAATGACCACCCTTTTCTCTGTTCTCTAACGTTGTATCCCAAAGTAGATAAACTAGAGTTTTATCCTTACCAACCATCTTTCTCTCATCTCCATCCTACTTTCCCAGCACTCCCCTGCACCCCCCTGCTGTGTGCAAAGCTCCAATCCCGGGAAAATACCATGCAGCGCTTTCATTCTAAAGGGGAGCAATTGAAAGCATTTCTTTGGTAATTTAAGCACACAGCAGCTACCTTTGCAAAAGCCTGGTTGCTAAATTATCCCCTCAACTACTCATTTTGCAAAAGGGAAAAGAAAAAAAAAACACACTGGGGGGATAGAGACTCTAATAAGAAAAGAGTCTGTGTTTTCTTTAGGTTCAGCCTGATTCCTCTCCACCTCCTCTCCCTTCAGTGACTGCAAGGCTCCTGGTGTGGCTCGTTCTGCTACTTTTCCTTTTAATGTTTTAAATGCCACAAATGCTTGTCATAAACCACCTTCTTAATTATGCAGAAGTGGAGCTGAATGGTTAGTTAGCAGTTCTATTGCAATTACTGCACTTTTTCAGGTCTGCTGCTGTTTTATGTGGCACTGTTTTCTAAGTTGCTGATTAAGATGATGTAGTGGGTGGAGTTCTTCTTCCCACCATTGGAGAAGGGCCGCTGAAGCCTGGGATAATGAGTCCTTAGGCAATAGTTTATGGCCTAATAAGAGTTAAGGATGGGAGCAAGGAGGAGATGGAGAGTTATGCTCATTCATTTCCTTCTTAAAAAGAAAAAGCCCTCTGGTTTTGTTCAACTTTTGCTTCTCCTTTGTCCAGTGTAGATGCTGAAATTGCTAGAGAAATATCCATGATGGCTCTTAGCAGTCCTAATCTTATTTGGACCTGATATTCTGAGGCTTTTAGGCATCTTCAGATATCCTTGTGCAGTGAAAGAGCCTTGCATTGGAGTTGAAATGATGACGAGAAAATTTAAGAACTGTTGAGAATTTGAATCAATCTCTTCATGTTGCCATCTCTCTCTCTCTCTTTTTAAAGCCAAATATGAATACTGCTGTGTGCCGATCTTGAGCCCTGAGAAGCTGCACTTCCAGTGTAGTTCTAGGTCCCCACTGAAAATAAAATAATGTGAAATTGAAAGCAGCATGCTATTGTAAAGTAGTGCAATCATTCGTTCATTCACAGGTACTTACTGAATGCCTACTATGTCCTAGGCACTGTGTGAGGCCCAGGGGATGGGGCTAAAAACAATATAAACTTCTTGCCTTTATGGAATGGCATTCTAGTCAGGTATACTGATATTAAACCAATCTGGAAATAAATATATACTCTTCAATGGTGCTATGAAAAAAATAAAGTAGAATGAGGTGCTATAAAAAAATAAAGTAGAATGAGGGAATGGAGAGTGTGCTAGGGCATGCTATTTTGGGTGGAGAAGGTTTCTTTGTGGCAGTGACATTGAAATAAGTGCCTGAATGAGGCAAAGCAACAAGATGTAAGGATATCCAAGAAGAGCATTCCATGCTGAGGAAATAGCAGGTATAATCACCCTGAAACAGGAATGCACTTGGCTTATTGGAGAAACAGTGGGAGGCTGATGGCTAGAAGACAGTGAGCCCGCAGGGCAGGACAGGGGGTAAAGTGAGGTCAAAGAGATAACCAGGAGCATATTGTGTATGGCCTTGTAGGTGAACAAATGGGCTTTGAATTTAATATAATTTAATTTATATTTTAAAATCATCTTGGCGGCTGGGTGCCAATTATACCATAAAGAGGCAAAGTAGAAGACTGGAGCCACCGAGGAGGCTGCTGCAGGAATCTAGGCAAAAGATATATTAGTGTGGTAGTGGCAAGCGTGCTACATTATTATGATGTCCTCGGCCTTCTTAAGTGTTTGCTTCATAAATCAGTAGAGTTGTGAGCTGTGACTTGGACCTGATAATGAATCATTACTTATTTTAAAATTGATACATACAATAACATTCTTAATTTTTTATAAGCTCATATAAAATATTGAAGGAGGATTGGTCTTATTTTGCATCTGTTTATTAAACATTAGACTGGAGATAAGGTTGTGAGGCCCTAGAGCCAAATAAATATTCCCAGCCTTGCCTGGCAGACAATTATTGGGTGTGGAGGTTACCCAGCCTCCATGTTGCCTCAGTGACTCCCTTTCCTGTCCTTCACTAGGTAGGAGGCAAAAAGCTCAGCAGTGACACACAGGCTCTGCTCTCCTAATTGCTGTAAAGAACTGTGCTGTTTCTTCTTCAAAATGTTGATTGCAGGCAGCTACAGGGATGTGCTCTTATGTTACAGTATAAAGATTTTTTATTGTAAAGAAAGGAGATTTGTTGGCATGGTGGGATGTGTGTATTTGTGTGTGTGTGTGCAAGTAGCTGTGCTTGCACTGGGAGACTATTTTACTTTGCTTTTTTCCTCTCCCATTATAGGAAGTAATTTTTGGAGGAAAATAGTATGACAGTCCTGATACTATTTTATTTATTTTCTTCTTCAGAGTAGGTACAACAGAAAATCCTGAATTTATGCTTGTTGTATTTTTTCTCCCTATTATATTTCTGCGTGTTCACACCCCTCTATTAACAGAGAAAGTTTATGCTATATTCTGTACTCCTTTTACTCTTTTTATTAAGAGAAAGTGAGAAAGCTGTCCTAGAATTATACAAAATATACATATATTTTTCCACATCTGAAGGGTAAAGGAATTGTAATTCATGGGAATAGAGTGTTAAGGGCTTATACAATGATATATACTATATATATATCATTGTTTGTATGTATGTACATATATTGCACATATATACATATCACTTTTTGGCTCTACTTTTATTATTTTCAAGTTTCTTTTATATAACCCCAGCTGCTCTTCTGCATTTAGTTAAGTGCAGTCCTACCATGTCTAGAACCCCCTTCTATTCTGCCTACATTCACGACTTTCATCCCTCAACTCTGGTCCCATTTATCTGTCACTTAGCATTAACTACGTTATAATGCCATTTATCCCTTTTGTGCATGCATTATTTCTACTCAAGTGGGCCATTTGCTTTTTTAGGGCAAATATCATAATATGCACCTACTTATATGCTCCACATCTGCATCAATTCAGACAGTTTGGTTGCAAGCAACAGATACTATAGGCTTAGACTACCTCAAGTTGGTCAGGAATGTATTAAAAGTCTTTGGGGTAGCTTACAGAATCAAAGCAAAGACTAAAGGAAGAGGTTTCCAAAAACAATCAGAGAATCTTGGGAGGTCTAAGTAACAGGGACTAATTAATAGCTATTTTAGGCTGCAGCTGCTAGAATGCATAAACTCCAATTATTTCCCCCCATTCTTACAACAGCCTGCTGAAGCCTCCAAGGTATTGGGTCATGTGCTTACCCCTAAGAGAAGCAGAAAAAAAAATCACCTTTTGACAATCCTACACCTCTGTGAACAATGGGAAGGAGATGTAATTTCCCAAAAGAAAACCGGGCACTGAGTGGCCCAAAACAATTGTCCTCTATAATATCAAGCATACTTTGGTGTCCACAGTTGGAGCTCTTTACAGATCTGGTGTCAGTGATGGTGACGACAAGGAGAAGGAAGAGTTGTAAATGACTTTGCTCTTTTGAGTAAGTGATCATCAAATGTCCTTGCAGTCAGAATGGCAAACAAATGGCATGGCCTGTCAGTATCTGAAGTTAATTTGGGCTGGCTGTCCTTTCTTTTTGGATATTTAGGTTTCAGTAATGATTTCCCGAAGGCCACAATAATAAACATGTGTTATGTTATAAAAAGCGGGTGCTGCATACATTGGAAGCAAGGCCCCCTAATTGAATCACCTGTGCTATGACTCTTTCAACTCCTAAGGCATAATTGAAGCACTATCTCAGTTGGCATCTTTGTGGTTTCCATCCACACATTCTTACTTTCTGGTAGCTGGATTATGAACAACCCCAAGGTCAGGCTTGTGTAGAACCCAACATCTTACATATTTTACTATTGATAAAATACACCCTGAGTATAAATGTTCACATAACACTTTCTCTCATCTCTATAGTTATGTTTCTTTCTTATGACCTTGGCCACATACTTTAAACTCCTTGGGAAAATATGCTGCCGTTAAAAACGCTTCACCTATTTCTTGAAAAATGACCGACAAGATGTTTTTCGTCCAATTCTGTCGTATATTTCTATTCCCTAGATTTAAATTTCCTGGACTTAACTGTTCCCTATAGTTAGCAGAAACATTATTTTAAGAACAATTTAAGTTGAACTTCATGTGAAACTGGCTACTGAATCTGAGTCGGGACCTTCTTCTGGAGGGAGGTAATTAAATATTCCTTATTGATGCTATTTTAAATGTGTTGAATGAAAGGAGTTAATTATACAGCAGGGAACATGGCAGAGTTCTGACTAATAATGAGCTCAATGTTTAATGTCTTCATCTTTGTTAGAATCATTAAAGTTGTTTGAACCAATCAGATGTTTCAAGTGAATGTAGACTCACAGCTAACCAGCTCCAAATGGCAATCCCTCACAGATGCAGGAGCTGGTATATCTAATGATGACTTCAGGAAAAGGATGGCGATATATTGCTTTCTTCCATGCAGTATAATCTGTTTCAGTTGGTCTTCCATCGTGATGGTAAAGAGAAAAGAATAAGTCTTATTTCCAAAATTTCATGTGTTATAATGGAATGATGTTTGTGCCTGGACATATAAAAGAGGAAATGATTTTGTTTTTTCCTTAAAGTTTTACGTAGCCAATCTCTTTGGAATCTGGTGCAATATTGACATTTCTGGCTGCCAATTCCTCACATGATAAATGCATTAACACTAAATCTTAGGATGCCCAGGAATCACTAGAGGACCAAGCACTGTCCTAAAGAATGGATCTCCTGTAATACTGTTGTAGAGAAATGTAGGCTCTTGAGGTCAGGTTTTTCATACCGTATTACTGGTTTGTTATGTGTCTTTAAATAAATTTTGCAAACTCCCCGACACTCAAACTACTTCCTCTTAAATTTCTCCTCCCTTCTGATTGCTTCACCAAACAGCCTGTGGCTTTGTTTTTATTTACAGGACTCCTAAGACTCTGTCCTGTCCTGTCTATGCTGGGGAATGTAAAGTACAGAAGATTACTTCCTTGGTTCTCCATGGAAGTCCTTTTACCCAGCTGTGAGGATTGTAACAATGATTGGCGGTGACATCACTCTATTACTGAACTTCACATATGGGAGTTGGGAGACTTTGAGGAATCAGTAGGGTGAATTTACCAAGTTCTCCCATGAGCCCAGGCAGCCGGGGTGTGTGTGTGTGTGTATGTGAGTGTGTGTGTGTGTGTGTGTGTGTGTGTGTGTGAAGGAAGAGTAAGTGTTAGGACAGAACAGCAGCCATCATGGGAAAGGGAAATCCTAGTTCCACCTAGGATGGTTACTTCGTGGAGAGGGTTACTTTGGGTAGTTACGGCAGCCTTCAGGGTTTTCAAGAATAATATAACATATATGATTTATATTTTTGAACTTCGATTTTACCACTGCGTTCCCTCCAGTGTACTTAGTAGAGATAGGATCATGTGTATCGAGAGCTCAGGCTTTAGAATCCCACAGGTCTGGAATGAAATCTCAGCTCTGACTTTTACTACCCATGTGACTTTGGACAATTTATGTATCCACTGTCAGCCCATTAGATAACCTTTAAAATGGGAATAAAGTAGTGCTTGCTTTGCAGAATTGCTGTATGGATTAAATGAGATAATTCAGGTAAAGCACATAGTTGAGTGCAAAATTAATTTATCACATATTATTAGAAATGTGGTTGAAGATTGTTTTGTTATTTAGATGAATCATATTTAAATCTTTCATTTTCAAGTATCTAAGACTTCCAAGGACTAAAACTTCCCTCTGAATTTTACCACTCATCCCAGCTGGAGATCTAAGATAACTATTTTTGTGTTTGTTTGTTAATTATTTGACATGTTTCTTCTCAAATTAAGGGAAAATTCTTATTTCGGAGTCACTGTTCAGAATGAAAATGTGAGACTAAGTATTTGTTTTGCAAAGCGCAACAGAATAGAGAAGAAAAGTTGGGCATTCTGTAGGGCGACCCATTTGGAAAAATAAATCCTACCCCTTTTGAAGGGGAGAAATTAATGAGATGAGTGTCAGTCCCTCCCTCCCCACCCACTGACCTCTCTCTGGGATCACACACCAACAGCCTATGATGAAGTGTTGCTGCAGTGCAATGGAGCAAGGTTACCTTCACAGTAACAGCTTTTCTCTGGCCAGATTACTTTATAGCCAAAGATGTGGTTATTTTCACCTAAACGTTTCATTTAAATACATTGTAAAGTGTGACCTAGGAAAACGAGACAAAATCATTCTAAGCTGTATAGAGTTGGATTGTTTGTAGAAATGCTGGACATTAACCAATGACTCTCAACTTGAATGTACATCAGAATCCCCAGGAGGGCTTGTTAAGAAACAGATTCCTAAAACCTTACTCCAAAGTAGGTGTCAGGTGGAGCCTGAGAATTTTCATTTCTAACAACCTTCCAGGTGTTGCTGATGCTGCTAGCCAAGGAACCACACTTAGAGAAACACCTTCAAAGTGCATATTTTCGTGTCTTACTATTCAAAGTATGCTCCCTGGACCACCTGCATTAGCATCACCTGAGACCTTGTTGGAAATGCAAATTATCAGGTCCCACTTCAGATGTAATGAATTAGAATTGTATTTTCATCAACTCCCTGAAGTGACTTGTTTGCATATTAAAGTTTGAGGAACACTGATCTAGTGATTATAGCCAAGGTCTTTGGAGAGTTGAGAATCTGAGACAGTCAGCCCTGGATTCAAGTCTCACCTACTGCCATTTTCTAGCCCTGTGATTTTGGGGGTGTTGTCATTTTTCTTCTTTTTAATTCCCAATTTCATCTGAGAAATTGGGATGATCATACTTGAAAAGTTGTGAAGATTAAATGTGATAATGTAGGTAAAATGCATACAATTAGTAGTGTTGTTAAATTATGTCTTCATTTCTTTTTATGTGAAACCTGTCCTGTGAAACCATTAGAAACAGCTGTTTGAAGAAGGTATTTGAAATTCTCTCTGAAGTGTTTTCCTATGTCCTGTTTTGAGAGAAGCTATTTTCACAGTATGGCATTAGATTGTCCTCACTATATTATTTTGTGTATGAGTGACAGCTGTAGAGATATATAATGGTTTGAGTTTGCCAAGTCACAGCCCCCTCGTTTGACCTCTGAATTTAAGGGTGTGTGTGTGTGTGTGTGTGTGTGTGTGTATGTGTGTGAGAGAGAGAGAGAAAGAGATACAGATAGACATTTCGTTGGAGGAGGAGTGTGAGGGAAAACCTAGGGTTTTCTTTCTTCTCTAATAATAAAATATGACATAGGCTTTCAAAGATAAAATTCGATTTGTAATATTTGACAACACTGGTTAGTCAGCCCTAACCTCACTGATATATTATGAAGATGAAGGTTATGCCAGTTAATAAAGTGTTTTGAGAACATTGAAAGGTGCTAATAAAATTGGATATTTGACTTTTTATTTACGTATGTATGTATGTATGTTTTGAGACAGAGTTTTCCTCTTATTGCCCAGGCTGGAGTGCAATGGTGCGATATCAGCTCACCACAACCTCCACCTTCCAGGTTCAAGGGATTCTCCTGCCTCAGCCTCCTGAGTAGCTGGGATTACAGGCATGCACCACCACGCCCGGCTAATTTTGTATTTTTAGCAGAGACAGGTTTCTCCATGTTTGTCAGGCTGGTCTCGAATTCTCGACCTCAGGTGATCCGCCCACCTCGGCCTCCCAAAGTGCTGGGATTACAGGCGTAAGCCACCGCGCCTGGCCTGACATTGTTTAATTTTTTAAAGTACAGCCCTTAGTGATAATTTTTCCTTTTCTGTAGCCAGAGAGGATTCTAGTATTTTGGCAGTTGGACGATATCTTATCTCTCTCAATGCCCTCATCAGTTGAGAAATAAGCCTCTTTCTTTTAGTATTTTATATTCTCAAAGCTCAGAACATTTCAGAGTCATGTTATGTAAAAATGAGGTATAATGGCTGCAGAGAAAATAAATTAAAATGAGAATTGCGCTAATGCAAATTAAAAGGGTTAATGGGAGCATTTTCTTCTGGGTCTCAATGTAGGTCTCTGTACAGATGATTGAGGGGTTTTTGGATCCTGAGTGTTATTCAGCTTGGAGGGGCTCTTTTCTGAAATTGCTGGCTCCCATACAAATAGGCCTCTTAGGACCAGTCATTATGATGCACACCTTGCACTATAACTACATTTTTAACATTTACAGGTAGGGCGGTGGAGCTCTTCACTGCTTAGTTACTACCCAGGGTAATCTCCTTCAACTGTAACAGCAAGTCACCAAGTTCTTAATGAGTATCTCCTGTTGGTCCATGGTAATGAGGGTAGGTGTGTGGGAGAGGCAAACTGTAAGACCTTTCGCTGCAAATCCTATAAGCACTTGCCACTCAAAGTGCGATCCACAAAACCAGCAGCAGTAGCAGCACCTACCAGCTTGTTAGAAATGCAGAGTCTCAGGCCCCACTTCAGACCCACTGAAAGAGAATCAGCAGTTTAACAAGATCTCCGGAGGCTGTGGGGGAGACTCACAGGCAGCTTAAAGTTTCAGGAGCTCTGCTTTAAGAAACATTCCTTTCAGAGAGGGAACTTAAACTGAGCCAAGATCTAAAACCATGTGAACTCCAAATTCAGAGAATCAGGTCAGTGGTCACCAGAACAGAGGGTATAATAATTGGTTATAAACCATTCTAATAGTTGTAGGTTTAAAGGAACATGTAAGTGTGAGGTCAGTTATTCACTGTATTATGAAAGATATGCTTTATAGTTTGCCTCAAAAAAAAGGAAGTCTGATTAAATGTCCTCAATCTATGTGGCAGATCCAAGTAAGACCCCAAAGGTTAAAAACAAAACAAAGCAAAAAGGGCAATGCCGTGATCAATTGCAAGTCAGAGTTAAGATCAAAATTAAAATATGAGGTTTGTAAATACAATGGTAATAGAAATTTGACGTTAGCATACGAGGCTCCCCATTGTTTGGAACCCTGGTTTAAAAGCTAGAATCAAAAGAATTTTGTCTAGACCTAATGCATACTCTCACTTAAGCTAAGTGGAAATCTTTGCCTCTGTTCCAGTAACCAAATCTGTGGCAGAGCTGGGAGTGGAGGTATTGGTGAGGGTTGTGGGTGGGGAGCAGTGTCATCCCCCAACACACTTTGTGACAGTTTTTAAGGAATTAGTTGATGAGACTCTTGTTTATTCTATGGTGCAGAGAGATTAGAGGAAGCAGTTTGAGAGCAAAGGTCAGACTGTTGATGCTGGGTTGAAATAGTCTCTAAGATGCAGACAGGTATAGATGTCCTGCCAACAACCAGCAACACAGGGTTGTCCCCAGACTTGCTCTCCTGATATTAGAGTCTGGCTATTCTTCTGAACCAAATACATTATTTTACTTTATGACAAGTGCTATTACATTTAAGGACTTTAGAGACACTGTGATTCTCTCTGACATCATAGCAAAATTTTTATGTGTGTGCCCAAGTACTACTACTTTTTTTTTTTTTCCTTTGGCTTCCCAAGAAGAGGACCTACTTATTGTTTGTATCAGATTTTTCAAGGCACCTTGGGATATAAAATTTTAAGTCTGCTGAATTGGAGAATTTCTATTTATTTTCCCAGGGGAACCCTTTGGAGTTCTGTCCTACTCAGCTGCGTTATCCCCTAGATTTCTGTAACTGTATTAGTTAGGATGCTTTGGAGTGCTAGAAACAGCAAATCTGGCTCAAATTGCTCCAACCAATAAAACCAAGTCACTGACATGTAACTGTAACCGCCCAATGGGTTCACCTTGTCTGCTGCCTAGATAGAACCGATTTATCAAGACAGGGGAATTGCAATGGGGAAAGGGAAATTCATGCAGAGCCGGCTATGCAGGAGACCGGAGTTTTACTATTACTCAAATCAGTTTCCCTGAGCATTTGGGGATCAGAGTTTTTCAAGATAATTTGGCGGGTAGGGGCTTGGGAAGTGGGGATTGGTCAGGTTGGCAATGGAATCATAGGGGGTCGAGGTGAGGTTTTCTTAATGTCTGCTGTTCCTGGGTGTGGTGGCAGAACTGGTTGGACCAGATTACCAGTTTGGGTGGTGTCAGCCGATCCATCCTGTGCAAGGTCTGCAAAATATCTCAAGTACTGATCTTAGGAGCAGTTTAGGGAGCATCACAGTCTTGTAGCCTCCAGCTGCATGACTCCTAAACCATAATTGCTCATCTTGTGGCTAATGTTTGTCCTACAGAGGCGATCTAGTCTCCAGGCAAGAAGGAGGTCTGCTTTGGGAAAGGGCTTTTATCGTCTTTGTTTTAAACTGTAAGCTATAAAGTATAAACTAAGTTTCTCCCAAAGTTAGTTCAGTCTACCCCCAGGAATGAACAAGGACAGCTTGGAGGTTAGAAGCAAGATGGAGTCAGTTAAGTTAATCTCTTTCACTGTCTCAGTCATAATTTTGGAAAGGCGGTTTTATAACTGAAAAGAACAGCCTGGCTCGCTCTTCATGAGACTTGATACAGGGTACAAAGGTGTCACCTAGAGCATTTTTTTCTTTCTCTTTATTTCCTGTGCCTTTCCTGCATCTGCCAGAAGATGACCTACCAAGGCTAGATCCTTGTGTACCTCTCAAATGTTGGCCAACAACTCTGGGGCCAACTGCTTTCCCTTTCAATTTGAGTTGGAGAGAAATAATTTTTGTCCCATCAATCTCAGGAAAATACTTTCAATCTCAGGAAAATATTTCAAATATTTCCTTCAAATTCACTGAAGTTGGGTTGATATAGTTTACCTGCACAGTCTGGAGGAAAGAATCCTTTTTCCCTTTTTTGAGGAGATGTTGTCTTGCTCTCTTACCCAGGCTGATCTCGAACTCCTAGGCTCAAGCAATCCTCCTGCCTCGGCCTCCCAAAGTGCTGGGATTACAGGTGTGAGCCACCATGCCCTGCCTGAAAAAATCACTTTTGCCAGAGGGATAGCTGATTTAGTTAGTGCATGTGCTCTATCCCTGGAGCCAGGGCAGTTTCTAAATGGAAGTCAGTGGAATAAAATTCTGGGAAGAGAGGTAAAAAAATGTTTACCAGTTTTCTCAGAATGCCAGCTCTGTTTGACACTTCTCTCTCAGGACTTTGAAGACTCCAAGAGGAATGTATTATTATCTATATTCTACTGAGGCAAGCCCTGAAGTCAAAAGTTTTAAGTGAAATAGGTGGGGTTGTGCTACTGGTCTGCCAACTCCAGATCCTTCCAGGGCTCATCTGACCATGTAGGAGTCTAGTTTATGGTATCCACCCAGCTGGTGCTAGGAGGTGAGTGAGAGGAAGAAGAGGCAGACTCTTTCTCTCTCCAATTAGCCTCTGCCTCTCTGTTTGGTTAATAAGATCCATATATTTAATATGCTCAATGTGCTTTAATGTGTTACCAAACCATTTGAGTCTGTTGTCACATAGGAAATGTAGAACTTTTCAAACACTATTAAATTCCCTTAATCGATTAAAGATACTGCCAAAATGGTTTACATGAAAGAACTAACATAATAGATTAAAATATCTTTTTCTTTTACATTTATTCATTACATTAAATTTTATGCCATGGTTATAGATCTGAAACTAATTAAAACAATTATACATTGACTTTTTTATTCCTAAATGTATCATGTTTTTAGATGTGTAAAAATAAGAAACAGATTCAGATTTAAAAAATAAGCTATGACTCAAAAAAAATTAATGTGAAATGCATCTGGAAAATTTCTCTTTTGAAACTGAAATATTCCTCTTACTAAAAAGTTGACAATATAACTCTTTGTAACACAAAGTATATCAGGAGAATCTTTGGCAAAATGGTGAAAGAAACTCTTACAGAATATGTAAGTCACCTAAGTTCCAGAATTCAATCTGTGCTAAGATTTTTATGGCTCAGAGGGAAATATCATGGACTCTTTATGTTATAAAAGGAGTGAACTATGTGATTATATCTTATTCTGAATATCAACTGTAAGAAGCAGATTCTCACGGGCTTCATCCAATATGCTCTTGTAATTCTTTCTAACATATGTCCTCTATTCACGAAGAACAAGAAAACATCTCCAGTTTAACTGCATTTTTTGTTTGTTTTATTAAATTCTTTTTTTGGGTATTTGCACGTTCCAACTACCCAGAAAATTACTCAAAATATTTGCCTTGTGGTCTCTGTGGCACTGAGCATTTAAAGCAAACTAGTGTAGTTTTGGCTTGGTAGAGATTGAACACCCTTTCGTGTTTCAAATATTTTTAGAGAAGAAATTCAGATACAAAAGCCATATAAGATTTATCATCACTTTGACATTAAGGGAGCAGCCATGGGTTAAATTACTTGCTTTAGGTGGGTAAGGGAAATTGATATTACACCGATTCTGTCCTCAGCACCAGACTGTGTAATGTGGGGTCACCAGAAACCTCTGACACAGCTCCTGTCCTCGGGGTGTTTATGATGAGGTTTTGAGAAAAGCCAGACTAATAAGAATTAGATTCACAATGCCATGTCTTAGCAGGATGATATAGTTTGGGTACTTGTCCTCTCCAAATCTCATGTTGAAATAGAATCCCCAGTGTTGGCGATGCAGCCTGGCAGGAGGTGATTGGGTCATGGGAGCAAGTCTCTCATGAATGGTTTAGCACCCTCCCTTTGGTAATAAGTGAATTCTCCCTCTGAGTCCACATGAGACTTGGTTGTTTAAAAGTGTGTGGCACCTCCCTCCTTTGCTTTCTTTGTTCCTGCTGTCACCTTATGATACCCCCCTTTACCTTCTGCCATGATTGAAAGTTTTCTAAGGCCTCACCAGAAGCTGAGCAAATGTTGGCACATGCTTCCTGTACGTCCTGCAGATCCATGAATCAGTTAAACCTATTTTCTTTATAAATTATCCAACCTCAAGTATTTCTTTATGGCACCACAAAAATGGCCGAACACACAAGATATGTCTGCTTGGCCTCCAAAATAAATCTCAGGTCTCTGATTCTGCCTCTATCAACCTACATTAGGCCACCATCGTTTCTCACCTAAACCACAACTATATTCCCCTAAATGATCTTCTTGCTTCAGTTTTTTTCCTTGTACTGGTTTATCCTACCTATGGCAACCAGAGTTATTATTTAGAATGTAAAACACAGCGGCTGGGCACAGTGGCTCACGCCTATAATCCCAGCACTTTGAGAGGCAGAGGAGGGTGGATTACCTGAGGTCAGGAGTCCCAGGTCAGCCTGACCAACATAGTGAAACCCCATCTCTGCTAAAAATACAAAAAAATTAGCTGGATGTGGTGGTGGCACCTGTAATCCCAGCTACTCAGGAGGCTGAGGCAGGAGAATCACCTGAACGCGGGAGGTGGAGGTTGCAGTGAGCAGAGATCATGCTGTTGCACTCCAGCCTGGGTAACAAGAGTGAAACTCTGTCTCAAAAAATAAGATAAGGCAAGGTAAGATAAGATAAGGTGAGATAAGACAAGATATGAGCACATCATAAAATGATCTTGCCAAAAAAAAGACCATTCATTGATGTCCCAGTGCACTTAAAAATCCTAACTCTTTCTTACTGCCTGGAAATCTTTACATGATCACTGCTAAAATCTCAGATCTTGTGTGCTACCCCTCTGCCCCTAAGGTCACTACCCTCTGATCACATTAACTTTCCTGTTCTTTGAAGATGTCTTGGAACTTGCCATTGTTTCTGTGTGAAATGTGTTTTTCCTGTATGCTTAGGTGTATCACTCCTCGTTATCCAGGGTTCACTTACATCTCGCCTCAGTGAAGAGATTTAGCTTGATTGCCCCATCCAAAAAGATCTTATTTGTTAACTTATTTACATGGATACTATGTCTTCCCCAACTTCAAGTTCATGAGGTCTGTGTTTCTGTCTTGTTTATCACCCCAGGCTCAATGTCTTAAAATAGCACCTCGTAGGCTCTCAATAACAGAAGATGGCACCAAATTAATACACTGAAAATGCCACAAGATTTTAGATAAATGTAAAAACATTCAGGCTTTGATTATTTGGTGAACATTTTGAGGCATTACGTGAGTTGGAGCAAAACTCTTGAGGTTAAATAATATTTGAATGGGCTCTGAGAGGCAAGGGGAGCGTGGCCATGCTTGTCCCCCCACCCTTATCTGTATTCTGATAAGAAAATACAGAATAAATTTCTTTGAAATTAAAAAATAACTCAAACTCTCTGTAATTATTTTTCTTTAATTTTCTGAGAGAAGGTTTTTTTTTAATTTGGAGAAATTTTTAAAAATTAAATAAAAACTAGAAATAATACTTAATGTCTTGACAAAGTATTAACTTGATCTAGTTTCAGAAAGATCTCATTAAACTGCCTGATAAAGTGATTATTCAGTGCCACTTTCATAGAGTTTTCAGTAATTATCTGAAATGATTTTTAGAATGAGGCAACGTTTTCCTTTTTTTTTTTTTGAAACAGAGTCTCGCTCTGTCACCCAGGCTGGAGTGCAGTGGCGTGATCTCGGCTCACTACTACCTCCGCCTCCTGGGTTCAAGCGATTCTCCTGCTTCAGCCTCCTGAGTAGCTGGGACTATAGGCACGTGCCACCACCCCTGGCTAATTTTTTGTATTTTTAGTAGAGATGGGGTTTCATCATGTTATCCAGGATGGTCTGGATCTCCTGACCTTGTGATCCACATGCCTTGGCCTCCCAAAGTGCTGGGATTACAGGCGTGAGCCACCGCACCTGGCCAACATTTCCCTTTTCAGTAGCAGGTGAAACCGTCTTGGTATTGACACAGAAATGCTGATAGGAAAAGGTGATGAACTCATACACACTAAAAATATGACATCTACCTCTAAAAGTTTTAGAAATATGTGGAAAGCATTCTTGGCCCTTTTCTCCTAAGTTAAGACTGTTCGCAAATCACTTTTGAGAGCGAAGTGACGATGACATTTTTCTCACTCAAGTCCTAACTCATTTCTAGGCATATAATTTGAATTAAACCCTTATATATAATTTTCTAATTAGATTTTTCTTCTTTCATGGCTTTTTAAGCTTTACATAACCTTTGTGCTTCCTTTTTCCATTAATCCTTCAAATGCCAGCATCCTGCCAAGAGGGTATTTACCGCAGTATTTCCATCATTGTTAACAGAGCCACAAGTTTTTTTCCAGTATATTGAAATTACCCATCCATGAGAAAATGCAGTCTTGGATTTTTAATTATTTAGTTGACGCTTATTCAACTATATGATGTAAGTAGGCCTTTTCTCCCTAATGTTTTATTACCAGTTAAAGCACAGACAGGTATTTTACTTTAATTTAGATATAGAGTAGGTAACAGAGAGCTGAAATTTTAAAAATTAGATAAATTTTTTGGTAGTTAGTTTTATAGTTAATCTTCTCTCTTTTTTTTTTTTTTTGAGACAGAGTCTCGCTCTGTCGCCCAGGCTGGAGTGCAGTGGCGCGATCTCTGCCCACTGCAAGCTCCGCCTCCCGGGTTCACGCCATTTTCCTGCCTCAGCCTCCTGAGTAGCTGGGACTACAGGCGCCCGCCACCACTCCTGGCTAATTTTTTTGTATTTTTTAGTAGAGACAGGGTTTCACTGTGTTAGCCAGGATGGTCTGGATCTCCTGACCTCGTGATCCGCCCACCTCGGCCTCCCAAAGTGCTGGGATTACAGGCGTAAGCCACCGCGCCCGGCCTAATCTTCTTAATTTGTCACTTAGAGTAGGGCAGTCGCCACAATATGGAAATGAGCTGGGATTAGTGTTATCACTGGGAAGTGATTGTAACTTTTGGGTTTGTACCAAGAAGTATATAGAATTGCTTAAACTTCTGCATGATCAATTACTGCAGATTTTTGCACCTAGCTCCACTACGTAGTCCATCACATTTCATAGGGCGATTTCTCCACTCCTTTATCATAGAACCTTAGGAGAGAATGTTCTTTTATAACTCCCTTGATGGAGTTGCTTAATGCTGCCTTTAATTTAATTGAAAATGGTTGATCAATAAAGTCACTTTTTATGGATTTATTTCTACTGTTTGATGTGGCAAATCATTAATTATCATTACCTAAATTAGCATGGATTGCCATGAAAGTGAAAGGAGTAAATTGCTTTATGGATTTCCTAGTGCATAGTACACATAGAACTTTTCTAAATATACATCCTCTTCAGCAGTTAGTTTGTGCCAGATTTCAATTCCTACGCTACAAGTTCTCCAGCAAACTAGAGGTGTCCATGTCCAAGTGGACATGCTAAAAAATTCAAATTTTACAGAAATTTTACAGAGACCTTACTTTTGTAAGGTCTCCGGAATCTTTAAAAAAAATCTATTTAATTATTGATAGAATTTTAGTGACCACCATAGAGGGGAGTACCTGTGTAAGCAGAAAGCAGGAGGAAATGAACCCATTTCCAGAAAACGAACTAGACATTAAGGAGAAAAAAAGAAGAGAAAGAAAAGTAAAAAGAAAGGAGAGCAAATACCTCTAGGTTTTTTATTCTGAAAGCCCATGTTATGGGTTGAATTGTGTATCTCACCTCCGTCCTCCCCGGGAAAAAAAAATACACACACACACACACACACACACACACACACACACACACACAGACAATATTATACATAATATGTTGATGTCCTAACCTCTAGTACCTAAAAACCTTAAAACCTCTAGTACCTCAAAAATTGTATATAGTATGTTGAAGTCCTAACCTCTGTTACCTGTTTGGAAACAGTCTTAACAGAGGTAATCAAGTTAACATCAAGTCATCAGTGTGGGCCCTAATCTGATAGGACTAGTGTCCTTATAAGAGGAAATTTTGATACAGACATACATAGAAAGAAGATTATGCAAAGAGACACAGGGAGAAGATGCCATAGGCAAACCAAGGAGAGAGGCCTAGAGCAGCTCTTAGAAGGAACCAATTTTGCCAACACCTTGATTTTGGACTTCTGGCCTCTAGAACTGGGTGGCAATAAGTTTCTGTTGTTTAAACCATAGCATTTGTGGTAGTTTGTTACAGCATCACTAGCAAACTAATACAGCCCATAATTTATGACTAGCATTTCATATTAAAATTAAACATATTATATGAAAGCTTCCCCAAACACTGGAATACTATAATCTATAAGAGTTGCATTAACTATTTTCATGGAACGTCAGAATGTGGAATCCAAAGAAATTCAGAGCCTAAGCTGGGTACTATCAAAGCATTTTATAATCAAACATTCAAGTATGCTCTGATTGAGAGAATTGATTTCCATATGTATCTTTAATAAAGGAACCCAACTTTCATACTTTCATTGTATTAACAAGAACAAGGCACAGACTTTGTTAAGCCTGATTCTGAATGTTAAGTAAGCCAAGGGTGAGGAACTAAAATTTGTAGAGAATTGAGTCATGTAGTGTCTACTCTACTGTGGGACTCTGGTGTTGGAATTATCAAATGACAATGTGAATGCATCATAGAGATTTATCCTGGACTAGCTTACACTTGGACCAAAGGTGATTTATCAGGCTTATCATTTTATATTGAAGTCCATAAACTCTCTCTTCTGCATCCCTCTGTTCGGGAGTGTGTGTGGCATAGAACAAATCAGCCTTTGGCACACATTGGAGGAAAGGGTGTGTGTTTTGTTTTCATAGGTTTTTTTTAGTGATGACAATCAAAAGCCCATTTTCTTGATTCCTATGGATATGAAGCCGATTAAGTATTGATAAGGAGTAAGGTATTAGAGTTTAAAATCGGGGCCATCTCTGAGCTACATGGTTAGGTCAGTGGCACCTTTCTCTGAATCCATAATCCTCCAAGCCATTTCAGGCCTTTTATGCAGTCCTACTGCAACCCAGAACTCCTTCTAGGCCTTCCTCTCCAGGAGCAGTTATGAGATTGAGTGTTAACTGCTTATAAGACACCATATGCTACACAAAACTTTTTATAAATGTTGTGCTTATATCAACTTTGACATTAATGCTATTATAATCCTCAATTTACAGAAGAAGAAACTGAGGCTTGAAGCGGTTAAATGACTTCCCCAGAGACACATAGCAGTATATGCTAGAGGCAGGACTCCAACCCAGAACTGGCAGAAAAGCTGATACTTTCAAACTTTCAACTAATGGTCTCTGCAGCCTCCAAAGTATCAGATTTCTCCGTCAAATCCTTCTTGCCTGGTCTGTCTGACCAACTAATCTCTGATAATGTAACGAAGGTTATAATAAATCCCTTCCAGAGAGGATATTTGCATTTAACTGGATGTTTATGAAATAATGTGCTGGCAGAAAGAAATGATACTCATGGTGGGAATTTCTCATTCTTTTTCTGGTGGAATGTATAATCTTGGACAAATCATGACCGCAGGAGTCTTCATTTTATCATCTATAAATGCCAGGATTGGGTTAACTACTGTCTAAAGATCTCTTCCAGATTCAAAATTCTATGATTCTTTCACATTAAATGCAACTCCTTTTCAACATATGTGTATACTTGGCCCTTTATTGAACCTTTTTATAAGCTGCCAATTGGAAATACACAGTCACGGTAGATATGACAATGAGCAAGTCACTTAATAACTATCAGCCTCAGTTTCCTAATCTACAAAAGGAGGCTATTAAGAGCACCTACCTCACAGTGTTAATATTATATACACAAGTAGCAAAATGTCTGGAACAGAGCAAGGGCTCACTAGCTATAGCTTTAATAACGTGATAACTGATGGTGTGATCAGTTCTATTATCATCTCCCTGCAGAAATCACAGTTTATCTAAGGTTATAGTAAAAGCACCCATCATGACTTCTTTTAATCATAAAGCATTTCATGCAGAGTGCATATTTTAACTTTGTATTCTAAAGGCATTGGTGTCTCACTAAAAGCTGGGCAGTATTTATATCAAACAGTATATCATCTATGTGTTCATTTATGCATGCAGACTTTCACCCCCCTCCAAGCTATGAGAACAATAGGCGCTTTAAAAGTCTGAAGCAAGAAGGATATTAGCTCCATGAATCTTTATTTTAAATTACATTTCTGAGTTAGAAGTGTCAAAATGGTAGAACAAGTTAAGCAAGATTGCATTCCCCAGTAGGGCTATTGATGTTGGTTGCAAATAAATTGCTGGAGCAGGTGATGATAGCAAAGTCCATGCCATCTTTTATTTAGCAAAGTATTTCTCTTGTTAACAGCTCCTTCTGCATGCTTTCCTTTCTTCTGTTTCACATCAATCATATTTGACACATTGCCCAATGTCAGGGTAAAAAAAAAATGCAGCGTCTGGCTAATCATCCAGATGTTTGGCCTCACACTGACTGAAACATCTGGTTGTGTAGCTAAATGTTATGTTCTTTCATCCAGTTATTTTGTGTTCTGTTAGACAGAACTGAAGAATAAACCCTAGGATCTTCTTCTATTAGGATAAAGCTTATAGAATCTCGAACTTGAGATTCCAGAACCAAGGCCTTACTGGTTCTCATAGTTGCACAGCTGTCAGCAGAATCCGGATCAATTGAGATAATGTGTGTGGAAGCATTATATAGTATGTGGAGGCATTATATGGATTTGAGAAGCTCATGTTAAAAGAATTCTACTCCCTTTACTTGGTTATACAATGGCCAAAGAATGTTTGTCTTCTGGAAAGAAGTTTTAAAACAGAATAAAAATTAATTGGTGTTAGAAGCCAAGATTTCAGAGCTAGACCAATAATAATAACAGCTAAGATATGTCTGATGCTAACTCTGATCCATGAACTCTTCTAAGTGCTCTGCATAGATGTAAAAACAATCCTTTGAAGTGGACCCTACTCTTTTTTTCCATTTTACAAATGAAGTAACTAAGGATGAGAGTGCAGTTAACAATTTACCCCAGTTCAGAAGCTCAAAATTTGGATTCAGACAATTTGATTTCAGAGTCTACGTATTTAACTTGTAAACTTCCTCTGAAATCAAAATGTTTATTCAGCTTCCAACACCATCACTTATTAAACTTGGTTTTGTCACCTTAAAGTGGGGATAGCATGACATACCTTAAAAGGATTGTTGTAAAGGTTAATTGAAAGGATGCATGTAAAACATTTAACAATGTTGTTTTTTGGTAAGTAGTAAGTAAAAGTAGCTATTTTTTCTCTATGTTATGCAATATTTGGAATCAAATATTTCAATACTAATTTAAATAATATATTCTAATAATCTCACTTTCTGAAAATTCATTCAATATAATTTTTTTTTCTTGGAAGAACATTCCTAGCAGGTTAAGCACTTTTGATCAACTCTTGATATAGGCTGTTCTTAAAATAATTGGAAGTCCACAAATTATATGTTTCTGGAAACTATTCTGAATATGGAAAATTATATTCCTTTTTCTTTTTAATGAACATATAATGAGTATGTATTAAGGGGAAGATATATGCTGAGCTTCCTCTTGCCTTCCTTTTCTCCCCCTTCATTTCTGTCACCCTGCCTTTCCTATCTTCACAATGGTCCTGTACAGTAAACTTTGTTTGCTTTTGCATTTGAACTTTAGGAATCAAGGTTTTTAAAGAAGCTGCATCATGTATCATAAATAAAAACGAAAAAAATGAAGTGTAATATTTTAAACTGTTTTAGAACATGAGGCTCAGTGTTCTATCCAACAGGCTATGAAATATTGCTGTTACTAATAAGTATGATGATGAAAGCCACTGATTCTTGGACAACTACTATATGCCTGACATATTGCTGGGTGCTTTGCATACATTTTCTCATTTAACGCTTAGAAGTTCTTGTGATTGACACTTGGGTATCATGAGCAACTTTGCTCACCATTTTTTCCTATGGTCCGGCGTCTTTAGTCACTTGTATTACTGTTGTTCAGAGTGACCTTTATTTGATTCATTTACCTTTCAGAATCTTCTATTACTCATGTATGAGGACCACACATTTATAATTAGGGAGTAAATTTGGTCATCAACTCGGATAAGGCAATGGGCAAATCTGACATGTTTTCAAAGACTTTTCAGTATGCTAACTTTCAGTAGGGCTGGTTTCTATAACAGCTACGACATCTTTTGTCAACACTCAGGCTGATTAAATTGCAAGATTATAATGTTTTCCGACCCTAAGTGAAAGTGACACATTCTTGTTCTTTTAGTGGCTTCATAAAAGTCAAATGTTTAATCTCAGGAGGAAATTTAAAAGATGGAAGTAAAACCTTAATGAGATGCAACATAAATAATAGAAGTCCCTTTGCGTGAAATGACTTGTGATGAGGTTTCTTCAAAGGAACAAACTATAAAATGGAGTGTTTCAGAAACCTAAAATACACTAGTAAACACTGCGTTTTAAAAATATGGTATCAATGATACTCAGCATTCAGTAAATAAAAAGAGTTAGACAACTGGTGTCTGTAAAAATGTTAATTTTCCAAAACACTATAAATGTATCACCAAAAAATAAACATTTTTTAAAAAAATTAGGTGACTATTTTCATGAATTTTTAGTCCATGAAACCTGAGGAGTTACTTGACCACAGCAAAGATTCTTTCTAATCCTTTATCCAGCCTTTTGTGCAATAGTACCTCCTGTTCCACTCACATTTCACATGCCTGTATGCATGTACATTCAGATGTGCCTGTCTTTGTCTCCCAGTGCTTGTTACACAGAAGGTATTCAAGAAATGGTAGCCATTCTCACAATATCATTCCTATTACCATTTAAAAATGTATGTGGAAAAGGGTAAAGTGCAAACCTGGGTTGTTAAAATACCGGAAGGATATCTATAATTTAACACCAGTTCATTTTTGTTTTCAAATCACTCCAAAATGCCCTCACTTATTGGTTTAGAAATAATGTAACAAAACAAATTGTGTTGTGTCTCCAAAGAACATTTTGCTAAGTGCCAGAGCTGTATATAACACTAAAGTAGATGCTGACATATGAGGATTGTGAGAGATGAATGGTGATATTTGGCTTTTGCTTCCCAAGTATAGGTCGTGTCCGAGGTATAGATAATTGTTGTTGGTTTATGATAATTCGACTTGCGGAGTTAGGTCAGTCAGCATAGATGCATATTTTTTGGATGGTTTTTTAACAATGTTGCTTAAAATTTTAAATCAGATTATTTGCCAAAGGGGGGTGACAAGATTTGGTTATTAGCAAAAAGGAAAATATTAATCTAGATTTGTTTGGTCTTAGTACTGATTATGAATAAGTCATCAATAGTTAATGATAAGGAATCAGTCTGCTGTGCCATATTGGTAGATGAAATGCTGCTACTCCTCCTATTCCTGGGCTTTTCTGTCCCCCACCCCCTTCCTTCCCTCCTTCCTCTGTCCCTCCAACTCTTCTTCACATCTCCCAACTCCCCCAATTCACTTCTTTTCCACTGCATGCCATGTTACCCTATGCCTAGTTATGATCCTAATTGTAACCCTAGTTAGAGTAGACACAAAGTAAACTCAGGAGCAGGGATTATAAAGCTCAAAATTGTTCCTCGGCTCCGCATTTTGTGTTTATTAACCTATTTTACCCTTGCAGCAACTCCAAGCAAGTCTGTAAATTTTAGCATTGAGAGTTCTCCATTTTGTGAGACCCCTCTGTCTGGTCAAAGTGGGATGACAGTTGGTCACTATAGCATTCAATAATTATCCACTATGGTTATTTTTATTCTTACAGCTTTTATTGAAAGTTTCTTTTTAACCATAGTGCCAAAGACAAAATAAACAATAAATATTAATGATTTTCTTGGCTTCTATTTATGATATTGTTATTTTACTTTTAAATTCTTTGGTATCTTCTGCCCTTTCATCTTTTCTGTTCTGTTCAGTCAAGACTTAGCTGATCCTATCTCAACCTCAAACATATCTTTTCTATTTCATCTCTTGACTAGTTAGAAACTTTCACGGCAGCTAAAATCTCCCACACAAATCTGAGTAAAGAAACCCTAGAGGTCAAAGATTGTAGTGTAAATAAAAGTATTTTCCTTTATATATGATATAATTTATATGTGTTATATAATATGAAGTCTCAATTAGAATAGGGAAAATGAAATTCAATAATTATTAGAGTATTATTTGCGAAGTGTTCTGCTAATATTTTTCCTCCTATTAATCAAAATTAGTTTTGTATTTTTTTTCCATAGCAAAGTAGTCTAACAATAGAGAAGAATGTCTTTTAAAAGACTAAATTAGGTGAAATCTATTCTTTTTGTTAAATTATCCTAATGTAAAACCAGGTGGCCTGATTAAAACTAGCCTTCTTTGCTGCCTCCTACTGTTTCAAGAAAAAGGTCGCCTTAACACTTAGTTTCTCTTGCTGTCTTTTGTTTGGAGTATGTGTGGGGGTGTGTTATTTATGCAGGCATAGCTCCTCATTATGGGAACTCCAAGAGCCTGATTGTGACTGTTTTTTAATGCCGCCTGCTGTGTTGTCCTTAAACTCTTGCTTTTCCTGGAATGCACAACTTTCTCCCAGCTCCTGGTTTAGCCATTGGTGTCATGTCTTCATGCTGCATCCTTGTGCCTCTGAAATCGTGTTCAAAAGAGTGTTTATGTTTCAAATTCATCCACAGTCTCACCACATTTAAAGATAATTGCAGAAGGTAAAACACTATTAATAGGAACAAATTTACTAGCATCTCTTTTACTATGTGTCTTATGCATAAAGCAGTTTCTGGTTGTTGGGTTATACAGTGCCTATTGTGATAGTCTATTCTACCTTCACCTCCCGCCCCACTGCCTCCCCATTTAACTAAAGCTCCTGCTGATATGTTCAATTTACTTTTTTTTCTTTTTTTTGAAATGGAGTCTGGCTCTGTTGCCCAGGCTGAAGTGCAGTGATGCGATCTTGGATCACTGCAACCTAAGCCTCCTGGGGTTCAAGTGATTCTGCTGCCTCAGCTTCTGGAGTAGCTGAGACTACAGGTGGGTGCCACCAGGCCTAGCTAATTTTTGTATTTTTAGTAGAGGCAGAGTTTCACTTTGTGGCGAGGCTGGTCTCGAACTCCTCACCTCAAGTGATCTGCCCACCTCGTCCTCCCAAAGTGCTGGGATTAGAGACGTGAGCCACTGAGCCCAGCCTGATATGTTCAATTTGATAAATGAATGTGTTGAAAGATATAAAATGTGTTAATCCCTAATTGCATGTGGCTGTGATATTTAATATGGCTGATTCTAATGGAGTTTGTAACTTATGGGGAACACTATGAATGGGATATTATAAATATTTGTATGAAGTAATACAAGAGACATTTCAACAG
The DNA here is from genome assembly GCF_000001405.40 of Homo sapiens. Classification (NCBI taxonomy): domain Eukaryota; kingdom Metazoa; phylum Chordata; class Mammalia; order Primates; family Hominidae; genus Homo; species Homo sapiens. The sequence goes on from NC_000014.9 coordinate 79,357,207, forward strand.
AAAACCATGTGATCTATGCCCTCCATCATTATTTTCTTTCTGTGTAACAAATGACCAAGTAAAAGTAGTGAATTAAAATATGAGTAAGTCTATTTTCACAGTATTCATAATTTATTATAAACTTCTTTTTTAAAAAAATAAAAAAAATTAACTTCTATTCCTTTAACAAAGCAAAGCAAACCAACATTATTATCAGCTAATGCCATTTGATTTCGGTTTGGTTTGGTCAGTCTCAGGGTGGCCAATCATTTAAGTTTTCTGGGACTGTTCCAATTTAAGCACTGAAAGTTTCACTTCCTGGGAAAACACACACTCCTTTGAGTATTTACCGTTGACTTCCAGGTGACCCACTTAAGGGCTTCTTCCAGAAGGGCAGGCAATAAGACTATCAAGACTCTTCAAAGCACTCTTCCCCAAAGCCATTAGATGAGGTCCAATTTTCTCAGCTTGATATTTCTGAGAACTGCTCTTCCTTTATTTCCAGGATTTAAGAAAAATAAAATAAACTGATATATATATACATACCTTTAGAAGGATTCAGAAAAGAAGAAATGGCCGTTTCACCCCAATATGTCACTATAGATATGAATGCCACTCATAGAATTGACACGTCATGTTTTTAACTTCTGTGCTTTAGGATTTTCCTGTTTGAATTGTTTATGTGCATGTGATTTTGGTGGAATTTCTTCCCCTTTCCTCTGTTCCTTGCTCCTTCTTTTGCTCAGTCAGCATAGGAACATAGCTCCCACACTAGGAAGGGCTGGAGGTTAGTAACATCAAGCAGTGGGCTTTCAAGTTAGTTTGCACCTTGGTTTGGAAGTGTTTGCTCAGGTCTCAGATACACAGGAGACTGTGTAATCACTCTTGTGGCATCTACTACACACAGCACGTGAGTTATTCCTAAACTGAGCACAGGCTCCTGGGTGGTGAATCCTAGTCTTTTTATCTCCTGCAGGCTAAGCCTTGGTATTTCCTTCAGATTACACCAAAACCAAAATAATGGGCAATGTTGTCCCTGAATGTTCAAATTAGGTTGAGTACACAGAGCCAAAGACTATCAAAAGAAAGTGTCCTGGCCGGGCATGGTGGCTCACGCCTGTAATCCCAGCACTTCGGGACTTTGGGAGGCAGAGGCGAGCCGATCACGCGGTCAGGAGATCAAGACTATCCTGGCTAACATGGTGAAACCCCGTCTCTACTAAAAATACAGAAACAAAATCAGCCAGGCATGGTGGCGGGCGCCTGTAGTCCCAGCTGCTCCGGAGGCTGAGGCGGGAGAATGGTGTGAACCTGGGAGGCGGAGCTTACAGTGAGCAGAGATCGCACTACTGCACTCCAGCCTGACTCTGTCTCAAAAAAAAAAAAAAAGAAAGAAAGAGAGAAAGAAAGAAAGAAAGAAAGAGAAAGAAAGAAAGAAAGAAAGAAAGAAAGAAAGAAAGAAAGAAAGAAAGAAAGAAAGAAAGTGTCCTAAAAGAAGTGGTGGTACCTGTGGGGCGTGTTTGGTGTCAGAGTGTTTCTGCTAAGGTTATTTTAATTAGCCTCCTCCCAAAGCCCTCCCCCTATTCTCCTTGAGGAACTGTTTGACCGTCACATCCTTAGAAAGGCCAAACCACTACTAACTCTCCTGACCCTCTGCCTTATCCTCATACCCTTAAAGATGTGACTTAAAAGAGAAAAAATTATGTTGTTAATTTCATCAACTAGGGCAAAGGGGAAAAATGTTCATTTCGATGCAGGAAGTTAATGGGAGATGGGAGGAAGCTACGGTTACAATTCCCATAATACATTAATGTATATTTAATATACCACCTTGATTTGTGGCCTCAAGTTAAATAACTACATATGTTTGCAGCATAATTCTTTTCATAATTGTGTAGCCTCAATGGGATAACATTTGTATTAGTTTCCATAATCGAAAATGTCAAATGCCTGTTTCCACCTTCCAAGTATTTTGGTTTTAGGTAGCAAAGACAATTCTTTCAATGCGTATCTGTTCTCATTAAGTTCTGATTGCTTTATAAAGAAATAAAGTCTTTTCCCATTGTTCTGCTCTGTGGAAGTCACCTTCAGAGTAAGGGTGGGGGTGACTGTCCTTGCCAATTTTTAAGTAACTGCCTTGCAAGGGTGATTCCCTACAGAGTTATTTTCTGCATAGTTTCCCTCTGGGTACAGAATGTGGGAAAGTAGATGCAACGCATTTTAGAGTAGTCATTTGCTCTAATAATTAGCATTATAGTACAGTGTATGGGCTGGCTTCCTGTTGAGGTCTAGATTTCTACATATAATGTAGGTTTTTCTATTCTGTCCTATATTAATTTCATTGGAGTTACTCTTTATCAGAGCAAACATCCGTAACATTTAGTCTTTTTTTTTTTTTTTTTGGAGACAGAGTCTTGCTCTGTCGCCCAGGCTGGAGTACAGTGGCGTGATCTTGGCTCACTGCAACCTCTTCCTCCAAGGTTCAAGTGATTCTCCTGCCTCAGCCTCCCAAGTAGCTGGGATTACCGGTGTGTGCCACCACACCTGGCTAATTTTTGTATTTTTAGTAGACATGGGGTTTCACCATGTTGAGCAGAGCAATAACTCTGTAGGGAATCACCCTTGCAAGCCAGTTACTTAAAAATTGGCAAGGACAGTCACCCCCACTATTACTCTGAAGGTGACTTCCACAGAGCAGAACAATGGGAAAAGACTTTATTTCTTTATAAAGCAATCAGAACTTAATGAGAACAGATACGCATTGAAAGAATTGTCTTTGCTACCTAAAACGAAAATACTTGGAAGGTGGAAACAGGCATTTGACATTTTCGATTATGGAAACTAATACAAATGTTATCCCATTGAGGCTACACAATTATGAAAAGAATTATGCTGCAAACATATGTAGTTATTTAACTTGAGGCCACAAATCAAGGTGGTATATTAAATATACATTAATGTATTACGGGAATTGTAACCGTAGCTTCCTCCCAACTCCCATTAACTTCCTGCATCAAAATGAACATTTTTCCCCTTTGCCCTAGTTGATGAAATTAACAACATAATTTTTTCTCTTTTAAGTCACATCTTTAAGGATATGAGGATAAGGCAGAGGGTCAGGAGAGTTAGTAGTGGTCTTGAACTCCTGACCTCAGGTGGTCCGCCTACCTTGGCCTCCCAAAGTGCTAGGATTACAGGCGTGAGCCACTGTGCCCAGCCATTTGTAATATTTACAGAGCATTGCTCTTTTTCTTATCATGGAAAGTTATTCCAATATCTATTCATTCTATACACATTTATTAAGCATCTACTATGTGCCAATGTTAAAGAGGTGAAAGTGTAACCTTGGCCCTCAGACTGACTTTTTGCAGGTTATGCTGAAAGATGAATGCTCAGTAATAGCTCGTGCCTTAAGACGTGGCCGAGCAAGCTTTGGAGGTAAAATAGCTCATGGAGTTTTTATTTATTTATTTATTCTTTAAAAATGGTCACAAAGATTTCAGATAAACAATCTGAGTATGGCTAAATTATTTTTCTTAGGTAAACATAGGAGGCAAGAAATTAAAAGGGTGGGAGAAACATTAATTAGGCTATGCTCTTATCAAGTAGTGTGACCTTAGCGAATTTACCTAATCTTTTTGAACCTCAGTGTCCTCATTTATAAAATGGAGGCATAACTTTTTATGAAGATTAAGATAATGTGTGAACAATCTGTGCAGTAGTAGTTGCTCAATAAATGGTAGTGATTTTCACATGTATTTGGACTATTGTAGAATATAGAAAAGAATATCATGCAAACTCTAGTCCTTTAAATATGAGTGAGGAAGAGGAATCACCTGTGTGTATGTGATTAAAGCTGTTAGCTATGATGAAGGCAGGGTGATTTTTCTCTGAAGGGTAATTCGAGTACAGAGATATTACTTTGAAGAAGTAATATGTTAAATGAAATCATTGGGGCTGAAAGTGGTAACAACATTCTGGGAAAGGAGCCGTTTACTCTCTTCACCTCTAAGATAAACCATAATGCATGCATGTATTTAATAAACTGTGATAGCTAGAGCTGTTTCACTGGGGCATCAGTAAGCTATCCTCAACCCCCTTTTCTTTTCTTCCAGCTTTTCACTTCCAACCCCCTAAGTTTTATCAGAATTAGTTAATACTGAGTCCAGCTGAATACATTGCTTGTTATAAATAGAATGCTTTCTCCCTTCCTCTGCCCCTGACCAAACAATTGATTACAAAGTTTATCTGCTGAGTGCGGTGGCTCATGCCTGTAATTCCAGCACTTTGGGAGGCCGAGGTGGGTGGATCACTTGAGGTCAGGAGTTTGAGACTAGCCTGGCCAACATGGTGACACCCCGTCTCTATAAAAAATATAAAAATTAGCCCAGTGTGTTGGTGCATGCCTGTAATCACAGCTACTTGAGAGGTTGAGGCAGGAGAATCACTTGAACCCAGGAGGCAGAGGTTGCAGTGAGCTGAAATCACGCCACGGCACTCCAGTCTGGGTGACGGGCTAAATAGAATGAAAAAGGAATGACCCATACCTGAAATGTTTAACATAATAAAATGACTGATATCGATTGATGACGTTGAGAGCAATGACCAGATATAAGGGAACAATGTGTTTTTACTTGGATTGTAGATATCAAGAATACAGGAGAATGGAATGGGAGGGCTAACAACTCTAGACAACATGGCTGCAATCTATGACTTTGCATTCTTGCTATAATTTACTTTCAGTGCTTTTACAAATGTAAGACTCTCGAGGCCAGCAGTGTATCTTTTACGCTATTCATTCTACTTTTATAATTATTATTATTATTATTATTATTATTATTATTATTATTTGCAACCTCTGCCTCCAGGTTTCCAACAATTCTTCTGCCTCAGCCTCCCGAGTAGCTGGGATTACAGGCGCGGGCCACCATGCCCAGCTAATTTTTTATTTTATTTTATTTTATTTATTTATTTTTTATTATACTTTAAGTTCTAGGGTACATGTGCACAACGTGCAGGATTGTTACATATGTATACCTGTGCCATGTTGGTGTGCTGCACCCATTAACTCGTCATTTACATTAGGTATATCTCCTAATGCTATCCCTCCCCTCTCCCCCCACCCCACCACAGGCCCCAGTGTAAGAAATACAATAAACAAAGTATCTTTTATTTTGGCTACGTAGTTATGTTGAGGGTCATTCATCGTCCTCCAGTTTAGCCTATTTGGAACGGTACTGGTTAATCTCAATAAACAAATAACATTGTCAGTTTAATTGTTCAATTATTGGAGGGAAATAAATATATATTAACCTAAATGTTAAATTCTGCAGGAAAAAAACTGATTAGACATAGACAATATCAACATGGGTTTGTTAAATAACTTGCCTTCCAACAGGACCCAACCAGAAATTGGAACCTATGTTTCATAGAAACATGATTCTTAGAAATGATCTTTACACAATTGTAAAACAAAGGGAAGATTATGTGACGCAGATGCCAAGAAATCAGACCTAGGCACCATGTACAAGTATACAAGCAATGCCGAGTTCATCAGTCCCATGGCTGCTGCTAAATTGGGCTTTATCCCCAGCAAATTAACACAGTTCCAGCAGGCACGATAAGTTTACTCTGACCAGATTACTGGGTTGAATGGCATATGCCGTTATTTTAGAAAGATGCAGAATAACATTTCCATTTAGAGTCCTGGCAGAACAAAGCTTGGATTTGGGCAATAGATAAAAACACATAGAGAGTATTTGCAGATGCATGTGATAGATAGAAATGGTGAGTGACCATTTAGAAATTTAGAATTGGAATTTTTTTTTTTTTTTTTGAGTCTCGTTCTGTCACCCAGGCTGGAGTAGTGCAATGGTGTGATCTTGGCTCACTGCAACCTCCACCTCCTGGGTTCAAGCAATTCTCCTCCCCCAGCCTCCTGAGTAGCTGGAATTATAGGCGCCCACAACCGCACCTGGCTAATTTTGTATTTTTAGTAGAGACAGGGTTTCGCCATGTTGGCCAGGCTGGTCTCAAACTCCTGACCTCAGGTGATCCACCTGCCTCGGCCTCCCAAAGTGCTGGGATTATAGGCGTGAGCCACTGCACCCGACAAAAATTGTCTCTTTTTTGATATTTCCTAGAGCAGTGTGGCTCATTTAGATTGAAATATCTGTCAGAAGCTATATACCAGTTCCATTGATTTCAACATTAAAATGTCTCCACATATTCTTCCGCATCCTTCTTCCAGCTCATAGCTGTAATTAGTGTTATGCTCCATGGAGTGGCAGAAGACCAGCTGAACAAACAGCCATGTACGTAGGAACAGTTCCAGGCAGCTAAAAGAGCTTCTTCCTCACTTGCCACTATCTTAAATGGTATCTGGTGTCTACAGTTGCTCCTTCTACTTTCTTAAGAAAAAAAAAAAAAAAATCCAAATGGAAAAGAGGACTCTGAAGACAAATTAGTCCTTTACAATTATAATTTTATTTGATTTCAAAGCAGTACTTGGTATAGCACCAGTCCAAACAGATTGGAAGAATGATATTTTCATTCCAGCTCCTGCATAGAATATCTTTGTGCTTTTCAATTGCTTTAGGGAGCTTGCAACAATAGAATCCTGTTAAATCTAACACCATTTTGAACTCTTCCTTGCCGATATTGTGATAAGAAATTTATACCTGGCCCAGGTTTATCTCTGTTGATAATGGGCTTCATGGCTATAGGGACATGTTGATATGGTGAGCTAGCACCTATCATTTTGACACCTACTCTTTAGTAGACATAGAGAATAATGGGTGCTTGGGGTAAAGTGCTGGAGAAGAGTGTCAGCAGTCAGTGTGTATGAACCTAGTGATGGATGTCTCTGTGTTTGTGCTGTGGCCATATCTGTATGGCTATCATTCTTTCTTCCTCTTCTCATTTCTTTTAATTTTCCTTCAACAGTCTTTCATTTGTTGCTTCAATTCACTCCATTTCTCCCCAGTTCTTCTTTTTTCTGTCTTCTATAATTCTAGATAAAATTATGACATGACTTAAAATATCCTCCTTTTTTGTCCGTGATTGCTTTCAATGGTTCTAATGACCCCATTGGAAGTCTGGTGATTAGGCCCTGAGGGGCCACAGTAATGGAAACCTTGTGTTCAGCCTTCATAAGGGTGATCCAAAAATGTTATTACATTACTTACACCTCTTTCTGTAAGTATTTTTTCTTCATTCACTTCGAAGTATGGGATGCTTCCCATGTGCAGGAGAATTAGCTCATTCATAACTCAAAGGCAAGTAATTTCATGTTTTGCTATTTATAAGAGAGGAGTCTATCATGCAAGGATGCAAAGGAGTATGAAATCAGTCACAAATGTAGGAAATAAAAGGCAATAAGCTTCCATTAAACCAAACAAAAGAAAAATTAATAATTAGGCAGTCTCTTTGCAAGTACATAATAATAATACTCTATTTTTCAATGAATCAATTAGGTAAAAATGAAACAAAATAAATGCAAAGAGAGCCCTCAAAAATATATCACTTTTACATATGTAATATAAGTTGAACATCTCATTAGAATAATGTGACTTTTTTAAAATTTATTTTTGCTTCCTAGAGTTCATAAATCTTCAGGTGGTAAGTAGGGGTTCTTTAGCTATTCATAATGCAACTTGCTTAGGTTAATTAGTAGAGACCCTTTCCCTTCACAGCTGAATATGAGTGCCCCTACTTACTATTCAAAAATCCCCAAAACCAGCACTCTTCTATATATTGGTGCTTGGAAGAGATTGTATTTTTCATTGACCTGCAATATTAGGTATTTTATTATAAATAAAGTCTCAAACAGGCTTTATTTTATTTGTCAGATTCTCTTTTGGTTTCGTCTCATAAAATATTAGCTGAATAGTTATTATATAAAAAGGAAATGATCAGAATATCACATTTCGGGTGGTGGTGTTTAGTTTGTGGGTTCCTTCATGTGACAGGTTGAACTGGGTGGTAGAGAATTCTGAGTTCTGTACAACAGAGTGATTGATTTCTCGGTTTGCATTTCTTGGCATCTGGCAGTGACACCACTGCAGACCGAGAGCAGAAAATGGACAGTAGGGAAAAATGCAACATTTCTACTTGGTCCAGCTGCCTTTGAAGGATGCTGATGTTTCATTTTTTATTTCTTACCCCAAACATATTTATTTGCTGAGTCATTAAATAGGGCAAGTGTTATTTCTTTCTTTGTATTTGCCATCTCACCACAGAAGAGTTTTATTGGCCGGGCGCGGTGGCTCACGCCTGTAATCCCAGCACTTTGGGAGGCCGAGGCGGGTGGATCATGAGGTCAGGAGATCGAGACCATCCTGGCTAACAAGGTGAAACCCCGTCTCTACTAAAAATATAAAAAATTAGCCGGGCGCGGTGGCGGGCGCCTGTAGTCCCAGCTACTCGGGAGGCTGAGGCAGGAGAATGGCATGAACCCGGGAAGCGGAGCTTGCAGTGAGCCGAGATTGCGCCACTGCAGTCCGCAGTCCGGCCTGGGCGACAGAGCGAGACTCTGTCTCAAAAAAAAAAAAAAAAAAAGAAAAAAAAGAAGAGTTTTATTAAACCATCTCGAATCGATATTGTTTTGGCACAAATTGCACTAATAACTTGAATATATAGTTTTGTTTTTTTAAAGGTGCCTTCAAAATCTGATACGTATAATGTATGTTAAAATTGATATTTCTGTGAAAGAGGTTAAGATCAGACCGCTTTCTGATTGCAGAGATAAAATTGATAGTTAACAAGTATTTATTAAACATCTATTATGTGACTAGTACTATGCTAGGGCATGATGAAAATGATTCAAGATGAACCATGCAAGCACCCCTCTCTTCAGCACCTCTGTGTGTAAAACATAAACAGAATGCTATGATTAACACTGAAAGGGTTCAGTCCGGGATACTTGGGATAAAAATCGGAGCACTGATAAGTTACTTGTCATGTACTTACTTTTTTAAAAATTTAAAATTTTTTAATTATGGGTACATAATAAGTATATATGTATGGTATACATGTGATATTGTGATACAGGCATATAATGTGAAATATCACATCAAGATAATTGGAGTATTCATTACCTCAAGCATTTACTGTTTCTTTGTGTTAGGAACATTCCAATTCCACTTTTTTAATTTTTAAAAATATGCAATACATAATTGTTGACTATAGTCACCCTGTTGTGCTATCAAATGCTAGATTTTATTCATTCTATCAATGTTTTTGCACCCGCTAACTGTCTCTACCTTTCCCTTCTCTCCCCAATACCCTTCCCAGCTTCTGGTAACTGTCATTCTACTCTCTATCTTCATGAGTTCAATTGTTTTAATTCTTAGCTCCCATATAAAAGTGAGAACATTCCATGCACTTCTAATTTAGACTCTTCTCCTCTTTCTCTGTCTTCTTTTTTTCCATAGCTCACTAATTTTGGGCATCTCTTCTCATTTACAGTAGCTTGCTGCTCTTCATTCATTAATTATTACAATATATAATTCTACCAAGAAGCCCAAAGAACTATAGTGTTTTTATGTCATTATTCTCAGTTCAGAAAGAAAGCATGTGTGTGGCACAGGGAAGGCATTTGAATGAATGTATGCATTTTCTGGATAGCATTCTCGAACAGAGATTTGATGAGAGTCACATGGATAATTTTAACTTTTCTAGTAGCAATATTAAAAACACAGAAATAGCTTCTCAATAACTGAATCAGTAATCCATTTTTAAAATCTTTTTCAATTCATTAAAATTAAATAGAATTAAAAACTCAGTCCCTTAGTCTTTTTTTTTTTTTTTTTTTTGGAGATGGAGTCTTGCTCTGTCACCCAGGCTGGAGTGCAGTGGCGCATTCTTGGCTCACTGCAAGCTCTGCCTCCTGGGTTCATGCCTTTCTCCTGCCTCAGCCTCCCAAGTAGCTGGGACTACAGGCGTCCACCACCACGCCTAGCTTATTTTTTGTATTTTTAGTAGAGACAGGGTTTTACTGTGTTAGCCAGGATGGTCTCGATCTCCTGACCTCGTGATCCACCAGCCTCAGCCTCCAAAAGTGCTGGGATTACAGGCGTGAGCCACCACGCCCTGCCCCCTTAGTCTGACTGACCAAATTTCATGTGTTTACGGATTGACAACCATGTGGGTAGTGCAGGTTTTGGATGCATGGCAGGCTGAAGCTTATGTAGCACATATTTGACCTTCACATTTTATTAAGTCTAATTTTTTAAAGTTTTGTCTGTTCATTTACATGTGGAAGGATGATAGAAATATAGGAAGAGACATGACAGAAAGCTTGCCTAGGACTCAGATCAAGGATTCAGATTTCCCAATTCCGGCTTCAGGGCCCTGTTCTGTAACATCACATCAGGGAAAGGAAAATGAGAGAAAAGAAGAAAGAATAAGAACTAATGTTAATTCATGTCAGACACAGTGCCAAAGATCTTTATTTGCATTATTGTTATTATTTTTTAAAAAATAAATAGACTAGCACGTAGCCTAGCTTACACACTTCTCATTGTATAGATGAGGAAACTGGGAATCAGTTAAACTTTATAACCACACCAAGATCATTGAGCTAGTAAGTGGCAGGCTTGGGATTTAAGAAAGCTTGTAATGATGTTACATTTGATGGTTTAAACTGTGCTGTGGGAAGGGAATCCAAGAAGATAATCCCATGTTTCTGCTTCTTGTGATGTTTGCAAATCTGTGTTCTGGAGTAAGTCTTTGAGTTGACTCTTGGAGCTTCTGAAACGTCTATTGGATATACTATAACCAAAGATAAATAAATAAATAAAAAGATCAGGGTTCCTGAACGTTTTCATCTTTACATTGATTGCAATGATTACAAGTGATCATTTCATCACTTGGAGCATTATTACCTCTATGGGGCTTTACATGATACTGACTTTGTCAATAAAAGGACATATTAGGAGCAGGATTTCTGTTTGGGCCAGAACAAGGGGACATACCCTATTTTTAAAATTCCCCAGTTTAGGAATTGAAGTGACTGCATACTAAAGTTGGCCAAATTTCATGTGGCTATGGAATGAGAATATATGAAAAGTTGGTTGTAAAAACAATTAAGAGGATTGGGGCAGACTATTTTATGGATCCCTTCCTCCTTAGCTTCTGAAATGAACTAACATTGATTCTACAACCACTTATTAAATACCTACTTTTTGCCATGGCTGATGCTAAGTGTTGAGGCTAGAAATGCATATGAATTATATTTTAATAAGCACAGAATAAAGAAAACTTGTCTTCCTAATTTTTACTTTAAAAGACTTTTATCTCATTGTTTAAGTGCCATAATTGTACAAAGCATGCTGTTCTGAGTTCAGTGTTTCTTGGCTCATTCTCAGTCAATACTCTGCATAGCATCTTTGAATTCCTTACTCATCAAAGGGTAATGAGTTAATTTGTGTACTCTACCTCTGCCACCTTTTGAGCTGTGTTGTTGACCATTCCCTATACATTTGCATCTCTGTCTGCCAGAAGATGTACCAGGAAAATAAAAGCAGCAGAAAATCTTATAACTTCCCACCTAGACATCAGTCACCATCAGAGTTTGGTCTGGAAACAGAAAAGTTTATTTAAAACAAAATTGGTACTCTGTGAATATTTCAACCATTTGTTCCATTTAATCCCCATTAGTGAATTTGCTTAGATTAATTTTTTTGTGGATTCCATTTCCAAGAATGAAAGCAAAATAATTACATCAAAAGGCCACTGAAATCAGCCAAATTCTCTGGCAGGAAACTTATTCTATTCAGTCACATTCAAACTATCAGGTATGAAAAATACCTTTCACCACTGGATAATACAACAATGGAGTTGGAAAATCAATCGTGTGGTAAATAAGCAAAAACTACGTGCAAACAGAGGAAAGAAGAGTTGTTCTGAAAATGGTATTTCAATAAAAGTTATAGTGATGACGAGCAGTGTGATGATGTAGGAAGTTCCAAAACTAGGTAGAGGGTATAATCAAAGGTGGGTACAATGGAACAAGCCTGGAGGCAAGGACGGGCCAGTCAGGAACAGGTGGGCTTATAGTGAAAGAAAGTGGAGGCTTTAGAAGTAGAGTATTTGATGAATTCTTCCGTCCATTCTATTTTGGCTTCTATGTCAAGGAGGATGACAGATATTCATTGTGTAGTTTTATAGGAAAGGCGATTGGTAGTGACTTCAATGTTATAAAGAACTTGGCCAAGTCCATAAAATGTCCATGGTGTATAACAAATCTTTTATGGTGAGTGATCCATGGAATTAGGTACTTAGAAAAGTCGATTGAAACATATTCACAGAAAGGCAAAGGTTTGATGACCTGGTGCATGGAATGAGACAGAGACACTGAGAAATTTTGATTGTACAAGTTTTTCCTAATATCCCACTTACATCCTGTAGCGGTGTGGGCCCATTTATTCTTTTTTATGTTTGGTTTCCCTGTCTCATGGTAAAATCATGGACAGATGTTACCCCTCAATTTTCTCTTTTTCAATTATTTCTGATCCTTCTCACTTTAATCAGTTTACTTGATAGTCTCTGCGCTAGTGTAATTTCTCCAGCCTTTTGAAAAATGTAGACGCTTGAGCCAGACAAAAGCACTTCAGCAGGAACATGACTAATCTTGAAGACATAGAGCAGGGCTGATAATGTACGCCAGGAACTGTCAGTTAAGAAATAGTGATACTGCATTGCTGACTCACAGTCAGCTCATGGGTCACTATGCTGCCCCCATTCTGTTGAGATTTCAGTACACTTTCCGTATATGGAGTTTCTGTGTTGGTACACATCCAGAAGGTTTCTTGGGCGCATTGACCTTCACATATTGTTTGGTTAATTTACCTAACTTGGTATTAATCAGACAGAAAAGACAAACATGAAGTAAGGAAAGTCGGCCTTTGCTGTTCTCCCTTGAACTTGGCTTCACTTCTATCCCCACCATTTAGTAAGGAAGAACAGCCCCAATTTATTGAGTTGCTATGAGCCAGACACTGTGTAAGCACTTTCTACACATTATTGCATTTAATTCTCCAAAGAATGAGATAACTATTATAATCTCTGTTTTATAGAACAACCAGCTAAAGTTTATCGGGTTTTTTTTGTTTCTGTTTTTTTGGGTTTTTTTTTGTTTTTTTTTTTTGAGATGGAGTTTTGCTCTTATTGCCCAGGCTGGAGTGAAATGGCGCCATCTTGGCTCACTGCAACCTCTGCCTCCGGGGTTCAAACGATTCTCCTGCCTCAGCCTCCCGAGTAGCTGGGATTACAGGCATGCGCTACCATGCCTGGCTAATTTTGTTTTTTTAGTAGAGACAGGGTTTCTCCATGTCGGTCAGGCTGGTCTCGAACTCCTGACCTCAGGTGATCTGCCTGCCTCAGCCTCCCAAAGTGCTGGGATTACAGGCATGAGCCACCGTGCCTGGCCAAGTTTATGTTAAATAACTCGTCCAGAAGGTGTAGTGGGATGTTTGACTCCAAAATACATGCTTTTACCGCCTCAACTGACTGAGCTTGGGACTACCTCTAACTTTCATTAGAAACACAAATCTTTTTCTAATAAACTTTCTTCTTCTTTTCAATAAAAACATTTCCCACAAGGTGACTTAAATTCATTCACAATTAGGTATAAATACTGATAAGAGCAGTTAACTTGTTTTAAGAGTCTAATATGTGCTAAGCCTTATGCCAGATGCTTTACAAGCATTATCTTAAACCTTGTAACAATTTTGCAAAAATGTTACTCTATTTTATAGAACCAAAACCCAAGACTATGAAAACCTAAATATCATCCTCAGAGTCATACAGCGAAGCAGAAATTGTATCAGCTAATGAGACTTAGTGCCATTTCTCTCATATTGTGTGAGAAAAATGGCAATGCTCAATAAATGTTGTTCTAACTGTTCCAGGTATCAAGCAGTAGAAAAAGAATATGGCAGATCAGGTGGATTTTGCTGTCAGCCCTGGAAACACTCAGCTGGTGGCTACATAATCCATCATCTCCTGAAGCTTTCATTGTCCACATTTTTTTTCTACCCTTTAGTCATGTGTTTGTAAGGAATAAATTACTAAAATACACCATACCTTTTAAAATATAGAATAAAAGCTCACAGAGAGTTAGGGTGACAGAACATATGATTCAACCTTCTGCCTTCTGGCAGACAGTAGGCTATTTCTTTTAGGTGGGTATCTAGGAATAGATACTTGCATATAATATTTTTTTTTTGAATCCCAGACTGGTCCTACTAACATTCTTGATTACCACTTATTTAAGTGACCATCAAACCAGTTTTATATCTGATATGTTTAATCCAAATAAATGTCTTTTTTTAAAAAACTGTTTAAAAAATGGTATTTAAATCCTTCCCAGATTTTAGCTGTGTATAGTCTGGAAGGAAACCCATTCACATGGTTTTATCAGGTTTGATATTTAATAGATCAAATTAGTAAAACAGGGCCCTCACTTCACAGGCACGGTGAATTCTTTGTTGATAAGATCTATCAATGATCAGTATGGATCATTGGATGGCAGTGAACGTATACGTTTGTGGGGAAAATTCTTATGCACCTTCATAGTAATGGTACTGCCCATTTTATTTGAGGATAATTAAAACACAAAATACCCAACGATGCTGTTTTTATTGTAGGTATATGTTAATTCCTCTAGAGATAGACAAGACTCTAAATTCATGGAACTTTAAGTGGGATGTTCCACAAAGGAAACTCTTTAAAATAATATAGAAAAATAAATAAGTAAATGTCAACCAAAATGGCAGAACATTTAAAATCAGTCTGCCAAATATCTTTTCTCACTTTACTTCATTTGTTGAACAATTTATATGCTGATATAGATGGCCATTTTAACAGTGTATACAAAGCATTTATATCCACACATGTACATTTAATCAAACCTACATGTCTACATACACATACTTAAGACACACATAGAGAGTGTGTGAGAGAGAATCAACTCATCATAATTGTAAAGGTGAAGAAAATTGATTCCTTAAGACTAAAACACACCATATTAAACTTGGAGTTTATATTTTGAAAATAAGATTCAGGAAGTCTTCTAAAGCATTCGAAGATTGATTAGAAAGATAAATTTCGGCACACAGGGTCTCTGTTCTTGTAACTTTCCCTGTGGTAGCTTATCCCTCTGTATAATACATTTTGTCATCATTCTTTCTTTCCTCCCTGATACAATAAAAATAATTTCCAAGGTTAGATTCTATCTTGCAAGAGCTTTTCCCCAAGGAGGTGCATGCATCTTCTTAATTTATTATATTATATAATAATTCCTCATAGGAAAACTAAAGGCAAATTAAAACCACATGGAGATAATGCCTGACTGTGCTTTAGACTGTTGTCTACCACTGGCTCTTTAGAAAAAGATCAGAGATACCCCTCTCTTGATTGTCCATTTTCTTGATCATGCAATGTGGTATTTTAAGTTCTATGCTGGCTTTGATGCTTTTGTTAGTCAAGGTGCATGTGTGAATGTGTGAATTGGATATGTGAATGATTTTAATATTAGCTTAAATAAAACATTACTGGGAAGACAAATTTTCTGAAATTCCCATTTTCCTCTTCCACTTCCCCTACCCCCAAAGAAACTTGACATATTCGTTTCAAAGCATACACTGCTTTTTTACTATTTTTATTTTTATCGTGCATATCACAACCCCTTCATTAGTAGACATCATTGAGCATTAACTGTGACTTAATTCTAGAAAAAAATATTTTTGAGATACCCATTAAGATATCACCCCTGACAAATATAAAAAGAGACCTTGAGTTTACTTCATTTTAAATAAATAGACTGTCTTCATTTCCTAACTCTGTGAATCTGACGCTTCTTATCAACACCCCAAATTACTGTCAACAAATTCAAAACCATCTACTGATGAATGAGATGTTTAGGTCCAATTCTGATATGCCATGCTCATTCTCATACAGAGAAATACCTACACTCTTTTAAATATAGTTGTTATTGCTGTGACTTGCACCTACTAAACAAATGTAAAAATTCTTACAGTTCAAGAAATACCAGTGAAGTGTATATTATTGCCCTCATTACACAAAATGCTCATGGAAAACACTCTATCAATTCCAATTATGTTCTGGGGGGAAAAAAAAGGAAACTGAATAAAAAGCAATCCCAGAATATTTGACTGGGCTGGTTGGTTATAGCTGCTGAACAATATGTAATTGTAAGAAGTGTGGCAAAATGATAAAAATAAACTCAGTATTTGTTAAAGAAATGAAAACGTGGCAATAAAAGATTCCGGAAAGCGATTTAGTTTTTTGCATTACTTCTTCATTACTTGATTATTTTACTGTTTCATTTCTATTTACCTACCAAGTTGATTCTTTTGCATCTGGATTTTGCACAATTCTTTCAATAATATACGGTTCAGTGGCTATAATTACAGGATTGTTAAAGTTCACATTTTACTATTCATCTTGTTATCTCTGGTAATGGAAGGTTGGAATAAATGCACATAATTACATGGTTGGTCTTAAATTATTTTTATATTGCTCTTGCCAGGATATACTCGAAAAGCAGTATTTATTCTCTAATATTTATTTTTGGTGGTAGTGGTTTTAGCAAAATAAAAGTAATAAATACATAAATGGACTGGTCCCACGAGCTTACTATCTATGGTTTTTTTCAAATTAATTCTAACCCATTCATCTCTCTGAGCCTGCTAGGGGCAGGAGGTGCTTAGAGTCTATGGAAGAAAAACGTCATGTTTCAGAGCTCTGGTAACAGGAAAATGTCCCTCATGAGGTACTCATCATTTGATCTATTATTTTATCTATTTGTAGCAGAGTAACTCAGTAACCTACAGATCTGTGGACCAACTTACTAAATAAGGTGTCAAATAAGTTTGATTTCATTCTAAAGCAATGCCATGTCATGAAAGTAAAGTGAATTTTTTTGTTTGTATTATACTGGAAATAGTCTCATTGTACTATATGGCACTCAAAACATTTTATAAAAATCTTAGCACTATCAACTAAAAATTAACTCATAAGCTCCCGTAATTAACTGAACAGATGACTCCCTGTTGGCCAAAGGGACCCCAGAAAAGACTGAAGAACTGAGTTCGTGGCCATTGATGGAAGCGAGGTCAGAAACGCCTCATTACATGCCCTTTATGTTAGAGTTTAGGCACAACTGACCAGCATTAACATTAAAATAGAGATCATAAGATTAACTAAAGGGACTCATTGTGACACTAAAATACCACATTCTAAATAAGACCTAAGGCCATGCAAAGCAAGGGTTAAGGCATGCTCTGCAAACCGTAAAATCTTTTTTTAAAAAATTAATCCTGCATAATGT
Source organism: Homo sapiens (assembly GCF_000001405.40). NCBI lineage: Eukaryota > Metazoa > Chordata > Mammalia > Primates > Hominidae > Homo > Homo sapiens. The sequence goes on from NC_000014.9 coordinate 79,374,542, forward strand.
GGCTTACTTTCCAATCTGACTCTGGTATACCCTCACATGGCAGATAGCAGACCCCTTATCTTGACTTAAGCATCCCTTTGTATTGACCTCAAGTCTTTAGACAAAGCTTAACTCTTTCAATCAATTGCCAACTAAAGTATCTCTAAAACTCACCCATGACTTGTAAGCCCATGCTTCAAGATGTCCCACCTTTTCAGGCCAAACCAATGTATACTTTTCATGTACTGATTTATAATTTTACCTACAATTCCTATCTCCCCAAAATGTATAAAACCAAGCTGTAACCTGATTACTTTGGTACCAATTATGCAAGACTTCTTGGGTTTGCGTTTTCTTGGGCTGCACCATTCATATTGGCTCAGAATAAACCTCTTTAAAACATTTTACAGAGGCTGATTTTTCCATGAACAGCAGCATCCAAAAAATCCACAGGATACATGTATCAAGTATTTATTAAGTACCTACGATATGCCAGGCATTGGGCTATATATGAAAAACAGTGTTATCAGACATCCACCTAGTGCTCCTGATTAAAAAATGGATGTGAGCTCATTTTACCTTTACGGAGGTCCAGAGATTTAAATTACTTGACTAGTCCCTCAGCGAGTCAGGAGAAGAGGGGTTAAAACCTGATTCCTCCAGTTATATAGTCATTTAATGTTCTTGGACTTACCAGTACTTTTGAGTTTTTGTGTTTTTTTTTTTTTTTTCCTTAAACACAAAACTACACCCCCGCCTCCAGCTCCCACCCCCTCCCACACATATACCCTTTTTTCATAGAACAAAATTTGGAATAAATGGACTTTAAATGAATGCATTGTTTTGACTCTGCAGGGAAATGACATAGAGAAAATAAGGAATGGATCGTACATGCTCATGCACTGTCTGGGGCACTCCTGCTGAAGTCTCAGGAGTGTCTTTGGTTTGTTGTCTGAGACCTGAGAGTTAAAAAGCAGAGTGCCTTTTGGAGGAACACGTGTCTCTTTCCGCAGCGGGACGTGCACTTGATACACATCAGTGGGCATGCCATCAGTGCCTCGCAGCTCATCTTTCTCTTTAGGGTGGCTGTGTTGTTCTTCCGATGACTGGCTTGCCCTGGAGAAAAATACTGCTTAAATATTAAGATTAGATTAGTTTTCACACAGCCCCATTTTAACCACTAAATTTAAATCCCTCAGCAATCTACTTCCCAACCTTCCCTAGGCATAATATTCAGTTTAATAAATGGTTTGTATGCCATTATTTCTCATCAATATATAAAAACTAAAAGGAATTTTAAAAATCCATACATCTTGGTTGAGATGAAATTTGACTTGATGAGAAGAGATTATTCTTAGAAATGTTTCTAATTCCCAATCAAGGCATTCTATTTCAAAATGTAGGAGCATGGTTGAAAGAATAAATCTTTAGAAAATAATGTATGAGCATGGTTGAAAGAAGAAATCTTTAGAAAGTAATGTATATAATAATATACATATATGTATATATACTTATATATAAGTGTATATGTAAGTAATATATATCTCTCACAAATATTGTTTTAGTCATCATCATCATCATATACACGTGAATATATGTACATATATGTATTATATATGGTATATGGTATATATGTGTATATATGCAAGATATATATGAGTATATATACATGTGGGTGTGTGTGTGTGTGTATGTATATATATATATATATATATATATATATATATATATATATATATATATATACACATACATATGACTCCAAAAACAATTCCTCTACAAATTGTGTGTCACTTCCTTGACCCATTACCTCCCCAATGTATATATCATGTGAATATCAAACAATTGAATGTTTTGTTGGTACAATTGGATTCATTCACACGGAAACGTGGAGTCTATTTCTTCCTTCAAATCCTCATCCTCCAATTAATTAGCTGAAAAACTGACTGCATCTCTGATTCTCTAAGAAGCATGGAAGAGAAAGAAATGGGAAACCAGCTAGCAGCTCATTACATGAATTCAAACAGTTCCCTTTGAAGGGAAACTTTTTCCTGGCATAGATGATGTCATTGATGAGATTGCAAGGGTAGGCATTGTATAAAGATGAGATCCTTTTTAATTCTGTTTTCAAAACTATAAAGCTAAAATTTTTAGAATTGAAATTTCAGTTAACATGACCCATGTATTAGATAAAATGTCTCTTTAAAGCCTGGGAGCTCTCCAAGGTGTGGTGTGTTTCCTATTTGCTAGGTACATGATTACGATGCATATGGATAGATGTTTCTGAAGTGTTTCCTTCTAAGTGCACTATTGCCAGTCAGATTTACACCCAAGTAGCAAAGATGTTAATGCCATGCAATCCTATTAATCTAACATGTTGCTTTTGTGGATTAGAACTACTCAGACTCTACCTTTTAGTTGTAGTTATTTTAAATCTTTAATACTGAGCTATCAAATTTTCTTTTATGATACAAAGCTACTAAGTAGAAGATACTTGAATATTCCATTGGCTGACTGATGTGTTTATTAGGCACTTACTCTGTGCCCAACACAATGATAAACATTCTCAGCAATATCGTGAAAGTTTAACACAGGATTCCTGGCTTCCAGAAATATGATGTTTACTTAAGAAGAGATAGGAACATATGTGAAAAAGTTAAGCTTCATGTAGTATCTTAAGATGCTAAGTTTAGTATTCTGGTGGTGGAGTTTCTTATCAACAATGTTTCACAGAAGATATTGAGCTCAGCTTTTCATTATCAAAGCAATTGCATGAAGAAGAAATTTGAGAAAGTACAACCCCTGGTAATGATTGGAGCCTCTGAAACTTTTGTAATGTCAATATCCATAGCATGACTATTTTTTATTTCCGGTACTGATGTGGCAGAAGTTGTGGAGTAGTGTTTTTGAGTTATCCGCTGTTTAGGATCCTGTATTAAAAGAAGTATGTCGGCTGTGCATAGTGGCTCATGCCTGTAATCCTAGCACTTTGGGAGGCCGAGGCAGGCAGATCACCTGAGGTCAGGAGTTCAAGACCAGCCTGGCCAACATAGCGAAACTCTGTCTCTACTAAAAATACAAAAAAATTAGTCAAGCATGGTGTCGTGCACCTGTAATCCCAGCTACTCAGGAGGCTGAGGCAGGAGAATCACTTGAACCCAGGAGGCAGAGGTTGCAGTGAGCCAAGATAGTGCCACCGCACTCCAGCCTGGGCAACAGAGCTAGACTCTGTCTCAAAAAAAGAAATATGTCTCAGTAGTGCAGTTATCCTTCTGTAGGTTTGTATTGGTGTTCAGCAAGTATCTGGTAAATTAATGAATTAACAAGAGAATAGTTTCTATGAAGCAGAAATGCATAGCAAAGAAGTGGGGTGTTGAAAGGAACAGCTGGGATATCAGTTATACAGGTTGAAATGTGGCATTGGTACAATGACATATTAGTTATACTCTTACAAGTTGTCCTTGAGTGGGTGCTTGATAGAAGTTGGCTTGCAAACCAAAAAAGGTTAAACACTTGTCATGGCCTCAGGCTAATGACCCCTTCTAATATGCAATTCTGTTTTTCTCATTCTGAGAGCAAACCAGATGCCCCATGATGTGCCCACTGTTCTTTTGCTAATGTGTTCATCCTCAGTGCCTTCATTACCAGTTTCTTTCATTTGACATGCAAAGATCTTTTTTCTTGGCTCATCCCAGAGAAGTGGCCGGGCAAGTGTTCTCCTGAGAAAATGTTGATGACTCTGGCACACAGACCACATACAATTTGCTGCTTCCTCACATTCACACTGAAGTTGGCTAAGGTGCCCAGAGAGAAACCCTGAGCCCTGACTGCATCCAAAACCAGTCATTAGGGATGACCACCGTGGGATCCCTCCTACTGGGTGCCTGGTTAAAACTGAGTGTCAGAGAAGAGACTGGTGGCTTTGTCATTGACTTTCTTGTTCAGATGTAAGAGCATCATCACTGGGAGAAGGAAATGTGAATTGTGAAAATAAATAATGCAGATAGAAGAGTCGGAAGTACAGAGGAGTGTTCCTAGAGTGCTTTATATGGAGCTCTATTATGGTGCATACCATGGTGTGTTGTTAAGTTAGTTTACGTGTCAGTTTCCCCTTTACACTGTGAAATTTAGCAAAGCAGAGACTATGTCTGATTCATCTTTATTCCAAGTACCTCACAAAGGTAATGCTAGCGTTGACCTTAATAAGCATTTAATCATGTTTATTCATTTATTTTTTGAATGAATGGATAATGATTAAAATTGAGGTTTTTATCTCTTGATTATGGAGCTTAACTCATTGTGAGCCCATTGACATCCTGAAATACTTGCTGAATGAGAGAATAAATGAACAGATTTAAAAAAAAAAAAAAACCCTGAAGAGCTAAGCTTAAGCCACTATTTAGGCTTTGAAGTTGATCCATGTGGTCTTTTGTTTTGGATTGATTGTAGGGACTAAAGAAGTACTTCATACGTTGTGTTATCTTTCTGCTCAGGTCACTGTGGACGATAGATAGCCTTTACTTCTCCGCTTTCTCAATTTTCAGCCACTGGTATTCAACTGCAGGCCTTCTTTAAAAATGTACCTCTTTCTTTCAAAATTTTCTGAAAAGCTAGAATTTTTTTGTTTTTTGTTTTTTCCAGGAAAAAATTTTAACTTACTGGAGACCAATTTCTTTTCTTAAACCTGTCTCTGAGCTGAGTATACTGTATAGTCCCTATAATGATTTTGGTAAATCCTTAAGCATAAGGTGGTCATTGTGTGTGACGGTGTTTTCTGTTTAGTGAAGACAAATGGTGGGATGAGTCTCCTGCTAGGATGTGCAGAAATGTGAGCATTAGTCTCAAGGTACATTCCGTAAAGTGTTGGTGCCAGGTGAGTATTGAGGTTGATAGCTTCTGTGAGGCCTGGTTTCCTGGGGTTGTGCCCATGTTCATATGACAGCTGCTTCCACAATAACATAGCAGGTGCGTAGCTCAGGATTTGCCCACTTTCTGCAAGTGGACACTCTCGCTTGTATCTAAAAGGCCTCTCCCATGGTGCCAGAATGCCTCTGACAGCATTTTCAGAGCTGTGACGGCAGGACTGTAGCTTTATGGTGGGAGCTTCTATCTTTGTAAATGCCACTGATGTCAGCTCTCACCATTAACCATTTTCTTTTGTCAAATGGGAGAGATTCAGGACTCATGGAAGTGAGAGACTGGCATGATGAGGCAAACAGGGGGCAGTTTAACTGGCTGTTTGGCCACTTTCCCCCACTCTAATTCTCCTTCTCCTTTCCATAAAACATGCTTTCCAATTTCTGCCAATAAAAGCCTTTTTAAAAAAGTACTAGTCTTTCATTTTTTTTTTTGCATACCTTGTTGTTATTCCTTCTGAACCAGTAGTAACACAATATACGAAGTACATTCTCTTGGGTATAAGGCCAGTGTATAGGTGGGAATCCCATAGACCTAAAAAGAAAAACAATCTAGGATTTCTGGATGTGCTCTGAAGTGGCACCTTCTAAGCTGCAGTATTTGTTCAACAGTGTTTTTCCAACAAAAAATAGGATGAGTTCACCTGTGAAGCATCCTGAAGGGAAACACCGGTGCACTGGGCAGGGAACAGGAGACCTAGATATACTTCTTCTTTTTTTTTTTTTTTTTTGGTAGATATATTTATTTATTTATTTATTTTTATTTTATTATTATTATACTTTAAGTTTTAGGGTACATGTGCACAGTGTGCAGGTTAGTTACATATGTATACATGTGCCATGCTGGTGTGCTGCACCCATTAACTCGTCATTTAGCATTAGTTATATCTCCTAATGCTATCCCTCCCCCTTCCCCCCACCCCACAACAGTTCCCAGAGTGTGATGTTCCCCTTCCTGTGTCCATGTGTTCTCATTGTTCAGTTCCCACCTATGAGTGAGAACATGCGGTGTTCGGTTTTCTGTCCTTGCGATAGTTTACTGAGGATGATGATTTCCAATTTCATCCATGTCCCTACAAAGGACATGAACTCATCCTTTTTTATGGCCGCATAGTATTCCATGGTGTATATGTGCCACATTTTCTTAATCCAGTCTATCATTGTTGGACATTTGGGTTGGTTCCAAGTCTTTGGTATTGTGAATAGTGCCGCAATAAACATACGTGTGCATGTGTCTTTATAGCAGTATGATTTATAATCCTTTGGGTATATACCCAGTAATGGGATGGCTGGGTCAAATGGTAACAACAGGTGCTGGAGAGGATGTGGAGAAATAGGAACACTTTTACACTGTTGGTGGGACTGTAAACTAGTTCAACCATTGTGGAAGTCAGTGTGGCGATTCCTCAGGGATCTAGAACTAGACCTAGATATACTTCTAACATAATCTGTGACTGTGTGCAGGTCATGCTAAGTATGTCAGACTGCCATTTTCTCCTTGAGGCTGGAAGTGTGGGGAGAAGGGGATAATGTAGTTGAGAATCCATTACTGGCCCCACCTTGGACAGAGAGACAGGCAGGTAAAGGGTACACATGTGCCTGGATGGTGCTGCTACTGGACTCTTGTTTACATTAATGTGTCAACAGTGTGCTCCAAGGTTCTATTAGGTGTTAACAGGTGTCTCAAGAAAAAAATGTTTCTTAATGAGATCAGTTTGTAAGAATTCTGGGTGAACACGTTAATTAGTTTATTCTTTTAATGCGTTGAATGTTTTTTTTTTTTTTGAAAAATAATAGAATCCCTTCAGAATTCTTAATATGATATGGTGTTCTGTATATTTTCAAGAGGAGAGGTATATAGTGTTTCTCAAATTTATTTGCACATGAAATGCCTGTGGGACATAATATCTCTGAAGGCCGATGTTCCTTGAAAGACTGTGTGAAATATTGAACTATATGATCTCTGAAAGTTCTTGAATTCTCCATTATCATCAGAATACCTGGCCCTTCCAAGCCCTTGACCTTCGTCTGTGGAGTATTGACTCTAGCTGCCTTCCAGACATTGTCATCTATGCTTCTTTTCCTCTGAGGACGATGAACCCCGGCTGTTCTCTCAGTACCCCTGAAAAATGGGAAATTGTATTTTTTTCTTCTTTGTACCCAGGAGTCTATGTATAATGCATAATTCTCAGTCAAAAGGAACTTGCTTACTTAAGTGCTCAAAGGTTTTTGTCCTGTGGTTTTTGTAAGGTAATCCCACAACATCCAGATAAACAAATAATCACAAGACATAACCTTCCAGAGTGTTCCATAACATTGATCACAATCAAATAATGAGGCACGATTCCATGAAACATTAGGAAAATTATAAAGGCATCAGGCAGAAAACCAGCAACTAGCAAATGGTTTCTCCATGATGATTTTGGGTTCACATTTCACTTCCATATATAATACAACTTATGTGCCCATATTTCATCCTCTGGAAGCCTGCCACATTATCCTCTGAATGAATATTAACACTCCTTGTACTCTGAAGTAGCCTCTGGTATTCTGGTATTTATTCAACAGGTTTTGAACAAGATTAGTGGATTATAATTTTGGCTTCACCACATTTTAAACTGTGTGCCTTCTCTGTGCCTCAGTTTTCTCCTCTGCAAAATGGAACAATAGAATCCTTTTCATTGAGTTATTCTGAGGATTAAATGAGTGAATATAGGTAAAGCACGTAGGACATCCCTGGCATATAGCAGTCAATCCCTTGTAAAATGTTAGCTGCAGTGGGTGCAACTGACTGCGGCCAGTTGTCACCACCTGTGACATTTACCAAGACAATTTTGGGTAAAAAAGGCAGATTTATTGGAGAAAGTACAAAGATACCTTGCAAGAAAGCAATGCGCAGGACAATGGGCTGTCTACCAAGAGGCAGGAGCTAGAGGGAAGTTTTATAGGGTCATACTGGAGGGGCTATGTCCAGATAAGTTGTGCAGATAAGGTCCTGCTGCTAGGGCTATGTCCAGAAACTAGGTATTTGGGAACATGATGTTCTGTCAGTCGGTTGTCTGTGATAAGCCATCTCCTCTCTCAGAACAATTGTTCTCCCCAATCTGGGGCCCCTTCTTCATTCTTGCTTATCTTATTAGGACTCCACATTAACTATTGTTGTTATTATCATACACAGACTATCTCTGAAAGGATATATAAGATATAGATACCAGCCATAACCTCTGCAAAAAGATACAAAGAGACTAGGGAGCCGGAAAGCAAAGATAGAGGAGTAGGCTTACTTTTCCCTACATATGAATTTACTCTATTGAATATTTTAAAATCACCTGTGTTTTACCATCAAAAAAATAAAATAAAACAAGCATCAATATTTACAAATGAAGAACTGAGGTTCCAACTTTACGATTGACTTTCCTAATTCAATTGGCTATTTGACTTCCCTAATAGTTAAGTTAGATTTGAGCCAGGGATTTGAACTACAAAAACCGTGTTTTTTCTAGTCTACCACCTTATATAGAGAGATATGACAGAGGGGAGAGATGAGAGGTGTGTGGGTGGGTGGGTGAGGGTGGAGGAGGTGGTACTGGATATTACTGAAAAACTTTTGATGATATTGAATTCTTTCCCTGAGTTCTGTAGATTTTGGCACTGGTCTCTTGTTTCTTCTATTTCTACTGTGAGTAAACAACCATTCCCAATCCTCCAGTTCTAACTTGAATTTCAGTGGACTAGGCTGAGTGGATGTACAAGGGCAAACCTGCATGGGGTGTAGGGAAATATAAATAGATTGGCACTGTGGAAGTCAGCATATGTTTGCTTGGCACCCAACCCTCCTATGCCTTTCATTTGCTGAATATTAAGCATCTCATTTTTATCTGTCCTCTTTTTGATGGAATGGACATGCAAATTTTTCAAACCTACACACCCTCTTCTTTCTCTTGGACAAAGGGAGTAATTTTACTATGAATCCATCATGTGTCCCAAGGAGGCAAACTCAAAATTTGTCTGCAAAAAGCCTTTCATTCATTTCTTTTCATGTAAGAAACAAAATTGGCAACTATTTTTTCATAGCTTGTAAATTCCAAGAAACTTAGTATCTTTTCTTTTCACTTGCTCTGCAGCCAAAAGCATATTGTTCAGCATTGCGAATTCACAATACTCACTGCTCCTCAGTCCTGGCTACAACATAATTTTGAAAAGTTTATGCAGGGACCATCCGAGTAATAAATCACAGAGGAGGACTGCTTTAACTGTTCACCCCTTAGCTACTGCCTGAATGAGCTCCATGCTTTATCATCTCAGAAGGAAGCTGTCTCAAATGCATGCTTCATTTTATTATCCAATTGTAACCCATCTAGATAAATTTAACTTCCTATAGATTTGCTGCCTCTTAGTATTCATATCTTCTCCAGACTTTTCATTAATATTATGATACTTGGATAGGAGTATTCCCCTCCCTTTCCTTTATAATGTAACAGCTTTAAATTGACATTTGGTGAATGTATCATCATTGCTATTCAAATTAGGTCAGTGTTTTTATTTCATTATGCTGGAAGTCCTCTTAGCTGCGAAATCAAGTTTGAATGTCTGTTACCTGAAGCAATGCTTCTGGCAAATGTTTCTTAGAGGTTTTTGCAAGCCAGAAATTGTCAGGCACCTCCCCCACTCCCACTTCTTATTTCTATGTGGTTTGGTTCATATAACCATTTAACATATTTTTATAAAGCGGTAGTTGAATAGAGTATAAAATAGGAAAAAATTAATCATCTGCCCTTTAAGAGGTTTCTGTCCACTGTGTGGGTGTTGGAGAGGGAGGTGGGGGAAGAGAGGGGAAGGGAGGCAGATATGCAAACAAAAATCATACTATGCCATGGTTTTGGTACAGTCAGTTAATGTCTAGGATATAATGGAAACGTGGGAAAAGGAGCCTCTTGACGTTTACTAAGACTTGAGAATGAGTTTTTTTCTTAATAATCTATAAATTGAAATCCACTCTTTCTAAATGTGCCTTTGGCACTGTTCTTTTGAATTAGGAAATACAGAAAAACAGTTAAATTTGGTTGAACGATACAGGAAGTACTCAGAAAAGGCAACCATCTTACCCCAGGAGAGATCAAAAGACATTCACAGATTATGTTAACCCAAAGTTTTGGCCTCATTTCTCAAGGAAGGGGCTACATCTTTTAGACCACAGGCATTTTTCCCCAGTTTTGAAACTGTGAAGGTGTTTAGGACCTGAGAGATTATTAATAACAGGTTTCAATGCCTGACACTCTTGGACTTAAATGTTCACCTACACTCAATCTGATCATGGACAAACTACTTAATCTCACTGAGCCCATGTCCTCATCCATAAAATGAGGGTAATAATAGTTCCACGTTTTAGTATTGTTAGGATGATTAAATAAAATAATGCATGTAAGTAAAATAACCCAGCTATTGGAACAATCGCTGCTGTATAATAAACCATCAATAATTCTTAGCTTTTGCTATCATTCTTGCTACTGTTAATTAGTTAGTGGTTCTCACTTTTTTCTAGAAATTGCTCTACCTCTGTTTCTCAACTGAGATATTATAGTTTAAGACTTTGATTATGATAACTAGATGATAATTTAGATGGTGTCTTTTTTTTTATTATACTTTAAGTTTTAGGGTACATGTGCACATTGTGCAGGTTAGTTACATATGTATACATGTGCCATGCTGGTGTGCTGCACCCACTAACTCGTCATCTAGCATTAGGTATATCTCCCAATGCTATCCTTCCCCCCGCCCCCACCCCACCACAGTCCCCAGAGTGTGATATTCCCCTTCCTGTGTCCATGTGATCTCATTGTTCAATTCCCACCTATGAGTGAGAATATGTGGTGTTTGGTTTTTTGTTCTTGCGATAGTTTACTGAGAATGATGATTTCCAATTTCATCCATGTCCCTACAAAGGACATGAACTCATCATTTTTTATGGCTGCATAGTATTCCATGGTGTATATGTGCCACATTTTCTTAATCCAGTCTATCATTGTAGATGGTGTCTTGATCAGCAATCTATGCTTTGAGTGTTTTTTGTTAAGTGGCTAATGCAGTTTGCATATTTGTCCCACTAAATCTCAAGTTAAATGTAATCCTCAGTGTTGGAGGTGGGGCCTGGTGGGAGGTGTTAGAGTCATGGGCTGAGCACTCAGACTTGGGCACCATCCTTGTGACAGTGAGTGAGTTCTCACAAGGTTTGGCTGTTTAAAAGTGTGTGGCCATTTACCTATATAACAAACCTGCACATAGTGTACATGTACCCCTGAACTTAAAATAAAAGTTGGATATTTTTCAAGTGGGCTTCATCCCTGGGATGCAAGGCTGGTTAAACATACGCGAATCAATAAATGTAACCCAGCATATAAACAGAACCAAAGACAAAAACCACATGATTATCTCAATAGATGCAGAAAAGGCGTTTGACAAAATTCAACAGCCCTTCATGCTAAAAACTCAATAAATTAGGTATTGATGGGACGTACCTCAAAATCATAAGAGCTATCTATGGCAAACCCACAGCCAATATCATACTGAATGGGCAAAAACTGGAAGCATTCCCTTTGAAAACTGGCACAAGACAAGGATGTCCTCTCTCACCACTCCTATTCAACATGGTGTTGGAAATTCTGGCCAGGGCAATCAGGCAGGAGAAGGAAATAAAGGGTATTCAATTAGGAAAAGAGGAAGTCAAATTGTCCCTGTTTGCAGATGACATGACTGTATATCTAGAAAGCCCCATCATCTCAGCCCAAAATCTCCTTACGCTGAGAGGCAACTTCAGCAAAGTCTCAGGATACAAAATCAATGTGCAAAAATCACAAGCATTCTTATATACCAATAACAGACAAACAGAGAGCCAAATCATGACTGAACCACTCACAATTGCTTCAAAGAGAATAAAATACCTAGGAATCCAACTTACAAGGGATGTGAAGGACCTCTTCAAGGAGAACTACAAACCACTGCTCAATGAAATAAAAGAGGATACAAACAAATGGAAGAACATTCCATGCTCATGGGTAGGAAGAATCAATATCGTGAAAATGGCCATACTGCCCAAGGTAATTTATAGATTCAATCTCATCCCCATCAAGCTACCAATGACTTTCTTCACAGAGTTGGAAAAAACTACTTTAAAGTTCATATGGAACCAAAAAGGAGCCCACATTGCCAAGTCCATCCTAAGCCAAAAGAACAAAGCTGGAGGCATCACACTACCTGACTTCAAACTATACTACAAGGCTACAGTAACCAAAACAGCATGGTACTGGTACCAAAACAGAGATATAGATCAATGGAACAGAACAGAGCCCTCAGAAATAATGCCGCTTATCTACAACCATCTGATCTTTGACAAACCTGAGAAAAACAAGCAATGGGGAAAGGATTCCCTATTTAATAAATGGTGCTGGGAAAACTGGCTAGCCATATGTAGAAAGCTGACACTGGACCACTTCCTTACACCTTATACAAAAATTAATTCAAGATGGATTAAAGACTTAAATGTTAGACCTAAAACCATAAAAACTCTAGAAGAAAACCTAGGCAATACCATTCAGGACATAGGCATGGGCAAGGACTTCATGTCTAAAACACCAAAAGCAATGGCAACAAAAGACAAAATTGACAAATGGGATCTAATTAAACTAAAGAGCTTCTGCACAGCAAAAGAAACTACCATCAGAGTGAACAGGCAACCTATAGAATGGGAGAAAATTTTTGCAATCTACTCATCTGACAAAGGGCTAATATCCAGAATCTACAATGAACTCAAACAAATTTACAAGAAAAAAACAAACAACCCCATCAAAAAGTGGGCAAAGGATATGAACAGACACTTCTCAAAAGAAGACATTTATGCAGCCAAAAGAAACATGAAAAAATGCTCATCATCACTGGCCATCAGAGAAATGCAAATCAAAACCACAATGAGATACCATCTCACACCAGTTAGAATGGCGATCATTAAAAAGTTAGGAAACAACAGATGCTAGAGAGGATGTGGAGAAATAGGAACACTTTTACACTGTTGGTGGGACTGTAAACTAGTTCAACCATTGTAGAAGTCAGTGTGGCGATTCCTCAGGGATCTAGAACTAGAAATACCATTTGACCCAACCATCCCATTACTGGGTATATACCTAAAGGATTATAAATCATGTTGCTATAAAGACACATGCACATGTATATTTTATTGCAGCACTATTCACAAGAGCAAAGACTTGGAACCAAGCCAAATGTCCAACAATGATAGACTGGATTAAGAAAATGTGGCACATATACACCATGGAATACTATGCAGCCATAAAAAAGGATGAGTTCATGTCCTTTGTAGCGACATGGATGAAGCTGGAAACCATCATTCTCAGCAAACTCTCACAAAGACAAAAACCAAACACCGCATGTTCTCACTCATAGGTGGGAATTGAACAATGAGAACACTTGGACACAGGAAGGGGAACATCACACACTGGGGCCTGTTGTGGGGTGGGGGGAGGGGGGAGGGATAGCATTAGGAGATATAGCTAATGTAAATGACGAGTTAATGGGTGCAGCACACCAACATGGCACATGTATACATATGTAACAAACCTGCACGTTGTGCACATGTACCCTAAAACTTAAAGTATAATAAAAAAAAAAGTAGGATATTTTTTAAAAAGTGTGTGGCGTCTTCCCCCTTATTCTCTCTTGCTCCTCCTCTTGTCATGAAATGCACCAGCTCCCCCTTCACCTTCTGCCATGAGTAAAAGATCCCTGAGGCCTCTCCAAAACCTGAGCAGATGCCAGCATCATGTTTATTCAGCCTGCAGAACCAACTACACATCTTTAAAAAAAATAAATTACCCAGTCTCAGGTATTCCTTTATAGCAATGCAAGAATGGCCTAACACAGTGGCTTTTTTTTTCTTTTAAGTATATTTTATATTTAGATGCTACTATTAGCAGATGATTTGTGCGTATGTCTTGCCCTGTTCAGCTTTGAGGAGTCCAGGCCCTTATGGGACTCCTTCTGAGAGTGGGGTTCCTATTTTCCTTAGGAACCCAAGACAGTTCTTTCAGAGGATTTCATTGATCTGTTGCCCCATGGTGCTTTGTGGCACATAATGACAAAGCATGACAGGCAGGCTCACAGCCCTCGACTCATGCTAGATCTCGGTTCATTCTGTATCCAGGGACTCCAGTTCATCATATCCCTTACCCAGGCCTCTCTCCTAGCTATGTCTGTGTGGCTCACAGATACTCTAGAGGGAGAGGCAATTAATTTCTTTTTGGCGGTGAGATGGTTTGCCTGGGTCCCCACTCCAATCTTATCTTGAATTGTAGCTCCCATAATGCCCGAATGTTGTAGGAGGGACCCAGTGGGAGGTAATTGAATCATGGAGATGGGAATTCATGTTCTGTTGTCATGATAGTAAGTCTCACGAGATCTGGCGGTTTTATAAATGAGAGTTCCCTTGCACATGCTCTCTTGCCTGCAACCACGTAGGTTATGCCTTTCTTCTCCTTAGCCTTCTGCCATGATTGTGAGGCCTCTCCAGCTATGTGGAACTGTGAGTCAATTAAACCTCTTTTTCTTTATAAATTACCTAGTCTCAGGTATGTCTTTATTAGCAGCATGAGAACTGACTAATGCAGGGGGTTATTTCATGTCAGACATTGTCGTAAGTTGTGTCTTCCTTGGTGTCTTAGTTTTTTCTGTGCTGCTATAACAGAATACCTGAGACTGGGTAATTTGTAAAGAACAGAGATTTATTTCTTATAGTTCTAGAGGCTGAGAAGTCCAGATCAGTTGGGTGGCATCTGGCAAAGGCTTTCTTGCTGTTTTGTTCTATGATGAAAGGTGGAAAACAAGAGAGAGAACAAAAGGTGTCTAAATTTGGTTTTATAGCAGATCCATTCCTTGATAACCAACAAACTCCCAGGATGATAATATTAATCCATTCATGACGGCAGAGCCCTTGTGACCTAGTCACCACTTAATGCTCCCACCTCTCACCACTGTTGCATTGGGGATTAGGTTTCCAATACATACCTTTATGGAACACATTCAAACCATAGCATTTGGCAAATAACCCAAACCCTTCTTTCCTCATCTGATAATTGGGAAAATAATAGCAACTACCTTGTGGATACTTTGTGAGAATCCCATGCTTCATGCAATAAGGACTTAATAATTGTAAGTTGTTAAATTGTCATACATGCTCCTTTTAGTTATGAAAACCTGTGGCTTTTGTCTAAGAGTTGAATATGAGAAGGTTCAAGGACTAGGGCTTTTATCCTTGGATCTCTGTAGCATGCTGAATTAATGAAAGGTCTGTCTCTCTCTCTCTGATTAATCAAAAACTCTGACTAGTACTAGTGAAAGTCAGGTTTGAACAATTCTG
The DNA here is from genome assembly GCF_000001405.40 of Homo sapiens. NCBI lineage: Eukaryota > Metazoa > Chordata > Mammalia > Primates > Hominidae > Homo > Homo sapiens. The sequence goes on from NC_000014.9 coordinate 79,389,857, forward strand.
TGAAGAATGGATTTGGAAGGAAAATATGAGGCAAGAATTTTAAAAAGTTGTTTCTGAGTTGAATTTGATTTACATTTGCTAACTGGAAAAAGATCAGGGTATAATCAGTCCATAATATTGAAAGCAGTTTGGAAATACCATTGCAGATACAGGTAATTTAAAAAATCTACATGAATTAGGTCCAGGAGCGGTGGCTCACGCCTGTAATCCCAGCGCTTTGGGAGGCCGAGGCTGGTGGATCACGAGGTCAGGAGATCCAGACCATCCTGGCTAACACAGTGAAACCCCGTCTCTACTAAGAATACAAAAAATTAGGCGGGCGCGGTGGCGGGCACCTGTAGTCCCAGCTACTCGGGAGGCTGAGGCAGGAGAATGGCATGAACCCAGGAGGTGGAACTTGCAGTGAGTAGAGATCGCGCCACTGCACTCCAGCCTGGGCAGCAGAGCGAGACTCTGTCTCAAAAAAAAAAAAAAAAACCTACATGAATTATTCTTCCTGTGACATATTTGTCATTCTTCATCTCTCCTTTAACATTCCTATCTTCATCCTTCAGGCCATCCTCTGCCTACCTCTTTCTGCTGCTACAGTGTAAGTTGAATCATACTTTCCAAAATATGTAAATGAAAGTCAGAAGTAAGGCAACTCATAGTGTTTCAGTGACTTTGATTTCAATCTCACTCAAGACTGGGAGATTCTCCTAAATTCTAGCAAACTTGTGCCTCTTTCCCAGCCTTATAAGAAACTGTCCTTCTATCTAAATACTGGAATGCCACTATGTGAAGCTTCAAATCAGGGTGGTTATTCTGAGACAATGGCAGCTTCTTGGGATGTGGTGTAACATGTACTAAATCATTATGTGCACATACATTTATTTTTAATCAACCTGCGTTTACCTGAGTGCTGTGGTTTGAATGTGTCCCCTAAAGTTCATATATTGGAGACTTAATCCTCAAGGCAACAGTGTTGGTGTATGGGGCCTGATAAGAGGTGATTAGGTCATGAGGGCTCTGCCTTCATGATTGAATTAATGTCATTATCACAGGAGTGGGTTAGTTAGCACGAGAGTGGCTTGTTCTAAAAGGAAGTTCAGCCCCCTCTTCCTCTCTTGCCCTTTGCCTTTGGTCATGGGATGAGGCAGCAAGGAGTCCCTTGCCAGTTGTAGGCCCTTCGACCTTGGACTTCCCAGGCTCCAGAATTTCGAAGAAGTAAGGCTCTGTTCTTTGTAAATTATCCAGGCTCAGATATTCTGTTATAGCAGCACTAATGGACTTAGTCACCAACTAAATGTAATGGACAAGAATGGCCTACATTAAAAAAAAAATGTGATTAGAGGATCTTAATATCTTATTCTGTAGTGAACTTTAGAATATTTTAGACACTGGAGATTTTCTATCAGATGTATCCTGTGGATTCAATAGGATTCATTTTGAGAGGCAGCTTTCTGAAGTGGAAATAATTCTGTACTCCAGGCACAGTAATTGGGTTCAAGCCCCAGCTCTGCCATTTACTGGGATGGGGAGAAACTCTTGGACAGCCTGTTAGGCCTTTTTGGCTTCCACTTTTCTTGTCTTTAAAATAAAGTTAATAATTTTCATTCTGCTTCACTCATGGCATAGATGTGAGGCTCAAATAAAAAAATATTTTGGAAACTACCCTGAAAACTGTAGAACATTCTACAAATATTATCTAACAAAATATATGAATGCATAATTAGTGTCTTCAAGGGATGTCATAAATATCGTAAAACTAAAGGGTGAGCTGTATCAAAACTTGGAAGGGATTGGGATGAAAATCAAACTGTCTAAAATAGAATGGCCAAATACATTGGGACTTGGCTCCAGAAAGAATTAATGAGAATTACACAGATTCATATCTTCTCCATTATTCCATTGGTCACGTCTAATAACTTGCCATGAAATTGCATTGATTTCTACAAAGTGATTGCATATGCTGTTGCCTCTTTTCAACTGCACATGTCATAATTCATCCATCCAGATCAGTATTTTACTTTTAGGAAAAGAGAGATGCTAACTTTTTCTCAGAGGAGAGTGTTTAGAAGTCTATGTTCTATAGTCCCTCCTAGAGAGGGGGGATTTCTTCAGTACTCAGCAGCTAATCTTTTTTTTCTTCTCTCTCTTTTTCCTTTTTTATTATACTTTAAGTTCTGAGATACATGTGCAGAATGTGCAGGTTTGTTATGTAGGTATACATGTGCCATGGTGGTTTGCTGCACCCATCAACCCATCATCTACATGAGGAATTTCTCCTAATGCTCTCCCTCCCCTAACCCCCACACTCCCCAACAGGTCCTGGTGTGTGATGTTCCCCTCCCTGTGTCCATGTTTTCTCATTGTTCAACTCCCACTTATGAGTGAGAACATGTGGTATTTGGTTTTCTGTTCTTGTGTTAGTTTGCTGAGAATGATGATTTCCAGCTTCATCCATGTCCCTGCGAAGTACACGAACTCATCCTTTTTTATGGCTGCAAAATATTCCATGGTGTATATACCACATTTTCTTTATCCAGTCTGTCATCAGTAGGCATTTGGGTTTGTTCCAAGTCTTTGCTATTGTGAACAGTGCTGCAATAAACATACATGTGCTTGTGTCTTTATAGTAGGATGATTTATAATCCTTTGGGTATATACCCAGTAATGGGACTGCTGGGTCAAATGTTATTTCTGGTTCTAGATCCTTGAAGAATCGCCACACTGCCAACAAACATATGAAAAAAGCTCATCATCATTGGTCGTTAGAGAAATGCAAATCAAAACCACAATGAGATACCATCTCATGCCAGTTAGGATGGGGATCATTAAAAAGTCAGGAAATGGCCAGGTGTGGTGGCTCATGCCTGTAATCCCAGCATTTTGGGAGGCCGAGGCAGGCAGATCATGAGGTCAGGAGATCGAGACCAGCCTGGCTAACATGATGAAACCCTGTCTTTACTAAAAATACAAAAATTAGCTGGGTGTGGTGGCATGCACCTGTAGTCCCAGCTACTTGGGAGTCTGAGGCAGGAGAATTGCTTGAACCCAAGAGGCAGAGGTTGCAGTGAGCCAAGATCCTGCCACTGCACTCTAGGCTGGGTGACAGAGTGAGGCTCCATCTCAAAAAAAAAAAAAAAAAAAAAAATTCAGGAAACAACAGGTGCTGGAGAGGATGTGGAGAAATAGGAACGCTTTTATACTGTTGGTGGGAGTGTAAATTAGTGAAACCATTGTGGAAGTCAGCAGGTAATCTTTTTACGGTCTGAGTAATGAGGAACCTGGCTAATAGTTGCCATTCTAGATAGCATTAAGGGTGAAGTCTTTGCTCACAGAAGTTGGTGTATCCAGACAGACATTGTAATTACAGCAGAGCAAATTACCATACTCTGAAAGAGAAGAACACAGAAAGCAACAAACACATTTAAAGAAGACTGTCCCAGAAATAAGGAGAAGGGCAAGAAATCTAAGCAGAATATTCCACTTGCCATTTACAGCATAGACAAGGACAGCAAAATGGAAAGTCACTTATATAACTGCAGGATAAAGAGATGGGTGAGATGAAATATACTTTCTCCGAATGAAGTTCACTGTATGTGTAGTGGATTAAATGAGATTGACTATTTTTAAAAAGCCTGTTACAAAGAAGAACAAATTTAATAGACTATTAAGAGGTAAAGAGGAACTTTTAAAAGCACATATTGATTAAAACAAAAGTTATACACTTTGGGAGGCCGAGGCGGGCGGATCATGAGGTCAGAAGATCGAGACCATCCTGGCTAACACGGTGAAACCCTGGCTCTACTAAAAATACAAAAAAATTAACCGGGCGTGGTGGCGGGCGCCTATAGTCCCAGCTACTCGGGAGGCTGAGGCAGGAGAATGGCGTGAACCCAGGAGGCAGAGCTTGCAGTGAGCCCAGATTGCTGCCACTGCACTCCAGCCTGGGTGACAGGGCGAGACTGTCTCAAAAAAACAAAAACAAAAACAAAAGTTATAGTTCAGAATATTTATTGCATACAACTCAGCAAACAAAGTTGACCTAGATACAAGAGTATTATTGGAATTTGTTAGTGAATACATTGACAAAATTCTGTTATTTTTGTTTAATTATCACTAGGTCCAGTAGGGTGGAAGTCAGAAATTTTGACTTAAAATATCAGCTAATTGAATTAGTTATTTCAAATCAATGTCTAGTTTGGATAAGAATATTTTATAAAAAAACAAATCATAGTATTAGGCATAGTTTATGCTTGGTGGCATGTAGAGAAATATAAAAATAAAAGATAGTGAAATCTTTTTAAAAATTGTGTTGAAAGGTATAATCATTTGTGTTAATGTATTATTCAACCAGGATGTAGGAAGAACACACATGTCACTGAGCTTTGTTCTGGGGCTGGAAGGAAGTGCAAATAACAATGATGATAATAATAACAGCAGTAGCTAATATTTATCAGATATAGAGCTTGTTACCACCACAGTAAGCAATTTGCATGGAGTATCTCAGTTCTCGTGATTAGTCAGGTACACTTCTTACATTGGTTTTTCGGATTGAGATATTAAAGTCCTTAGAATTGAAAGAACTTGCTCCAAATCATACAGCTAGGAATGGTAGACTAGCGTTTTTACTCAGGCAGTCTCAAGATAACATTTGTTGAGGGTCTATTAACAACCAGGCATTGAGATGGTGTTTACACATATTAGTTATCTCAGTGGTTCTTAACCTGGGATGCATGTTAAACTTACCAAGGAAGCATTTTAAAACCCTGATGCTTAGGACCTACACCAGGTGAATTAAATCAGAACCTTTTGAGACAGGGGCAGGACTTGGCATCAGTATTTCTTAAATATAAACATTGTATATGTAAATATTATATCAATACCAGTATTTTTAAAAGTATCCCAGGGGAGTCAGCCTTTTGAATTACTGTCCATTTAATATTCAAAGCAAAGTCTATACATTTGTATTATTCCTATTTTATTTATGAGGACTCTGAGATTCAGTGACGATAACTGACTTGCTCGATCAAGGTCACTTACCTGGTAAATTGCTGAGCTGGGATGTAAATGCAGTTCTGTCTAGCTAAAGAGCCCGCATTCTTCTTGATGCCTCAGTGTCTAGCCATTTTACCCAGAGCAATAAATTCACTTGTTCCTGTTATTTAGTGTTTATCATAGAATTTAGCTTTAGCCTCAATTTCATTTTATTGTCTTCACTATTGAGTACTCACAAAGGGAGCCAGTTAACAACATCTTTGGAACAACCATCCTGTGTGGAGCATTGTGCTAATTGCTGTGGGAAAGAACAGGGGAAGATATGAAATATTCCCTTTACAAAGATATCTACTGTTCTGCCAGGGTTCATAACTTTGGGCCTGTGACTTGACATCTGGGTGGCAAAAGAAGTCTCATGAATTGTTTGGGAAGTATTCATAGTTTTCATCAGATTGTAACAGAGCCATGAGCCAAAATATTTATGAACTTCTGCCTTGCTTGGTATGTAAGGCATTTGATTCCAGAAGCAGTGGCATATTATCTTGAATTTTCTTCATAAAGGCAAAACAGTGCCTTTTCAAGAGATTTTGAGTTTGATATACTGTCAAAAACTGTTTACAGCTAAGCCTAGTAAAAGATGTTGCATATGTGGAGTGTGTGTGTGTATAAAAAAAATGCAGGCTGTGAGGCCGGGCGTGGTGGCTCACGCCTGTAATCCCAGCACTTTGGGAGGCCGAGATGGGCAGATCATGAGGTCAGGAGATCAAGGCCATCCTGGCTAACATGGTGAAACCCCATCTCTACTAAAAATACAAAAAAATTAGCCAGGCGTGGTGGTGGGCGCCTGTAGTCCCAGCTACTCCGGAGGCTGAGTCAGGAGAATGGCGTGAACCCGGGAGGCAGAGCTTGCAGTGAGTGGAGATCATGCCACTGCACTCCCCGCTGGGTGACAGAGCTAGACTCCATCTCAAAAAAAAAAAAAAATGCAGGCTGTGAATATAAAACAATGAAATAAATTTCATTAGTGGCTCAGAAACTAGATCTGAGAACAAGGATTTGGTTGTTTCTGGCAATAAAACATTATTAAGAAATGTGATATCATGAGGTAAATATCTTAAAGAATTGTATTCATTTACACACATATATGTACAAATAAATTTGCACACATATATACATGCTATGCACATATATACTATATATACACATGTATGTATTATATGCATGCACCAATACATGCTGGCATGTTTTATGCAAATTGATTTTTATTCCATAGCTATTTTTCCTATATAATCCATTATTTTTAAATGTATTAATAATTTTAATATCACCATAAACTGAAATGAGTAAAGAGGCCTGTAATGTGAATATTCATATATGGAACATAATACGGGGGTTGCGTAATTATAGGTCCATATATGTATTGTATTTCCTGATATATTTATATATGAAATTGCTAGTATGTGTGAAAGATATCTACATATATTTTACTAATAAGAGATATATTCATATATATATATACAAATATATGCTTTATAGAGCCTAAGTTTGGGGTGGAACAAATGTTCTCACCCTTGTTTGATTATGAGAACCACTTGCAGAGCTTTTTAAAAACCTGAGTCCCTTTTACCCTTGATTCAAATTCAGTACATCCAGAGCGGGTCCTGGTGCTGTTTTTAAAACATTCCTTGAATGGTTGTGTTGCTTTGCTTGAGAAGCAGCCCTGTAGTTTGTGTACAGGTAGGAATGAGGAAGGAAGGGTACCAGACAACAGACAGGTAAGACAGTCAAGGGGAAGAGGCCAGGAAAATTTCTACCAGGAGGGTGGCAGTTTATTGATTTGCTTATGTTAAAATAGTTGAGTCCGCGCTGTATCTTTTTACTTGATTAATTTAATTTACACAAACCAAAGGTCAATATCAATGATTAATGTCAGAGGGAAGGGTATTATTATTATTTTTAACCCTACTTCTTTTTCAACTACTACATATCTGACCTTGCAGAGGAAATCTTGGAGAGAAAATAGCCACTTTCATACGACTATCCCTTGGTCAATGCGCTACTTATTAAACTTTATTTTCCCACTGAAGAAAGAAAATCCTACCTTCAGGGAATAAAATAGAGATTCATTTTCTGACCTCCTAGTATAATGCTAAAGGAAAAGCATACAATCTCTTTGGGGAGGGAGCTGTTAGGAAGGCCAGAGGCAGCTGTCTTGGAAACATACAGAAAGGTGCTATTGGGACAGAGCATAATTTAAAGTAGGTGAGATTGGAAAATAGGGATTTTTCCTTCTCTTTTACATTTTTTTTTCCTTTCTTGAACATATACAGTTCTTCAGTTAAGTGTTAGCCTGAGATTAAATATAACATTTATGAAGCTCCTTTCAAAACTCATCCCTGCATGTGAATGGACCATTTCCTCCTTTATACCACTGCACTGACTTCTAATTACATGCATCTTTCATGAAAATGTTTGTCAGACTGTCTGATGTTAAATTGCAAGATAATTGATAACAAGACCCATGTCTTAATCATCTTTGTTGGTGCTAAATACGTGTTTATTGAATGAATGAACAAACACTTGGATGAATAAATAGACTGTAATTGTTAGTAACTCCATGAGACCTGCACATTTCTTTGTTATTGGCACTTTGCCTCCCTGTTTCTCTTGAGCTTCATGGTTCTATATCTACATCACAGGTAGTCTAGTGTAAGGTTGAATAACAACACTCAAATTAAAAAGTAAAAATCTTAAGATGCTTTTGGTACCTAAGCATAATCATAAAACAATGGTCTTGTTTAATTTGAGGAGGAGATAAGTGATCAAACCCAAGAATCCATAAATTTGGCCTAAGTATTGGTATTTATTTCCAGAGATGGGCAAGGAAAGAGTGTTGGAAGAAAATACAAGGTAAGTTTTACAACCTGTGAGTACTCAGAACCTGGACTTTCATGTCTTTTAGAAAGACACATTGACAATAGGCAGAAAATCCTTAGCTACAACTCACTGGCTGAAAGCTTGGTCAGTTAAATTGTGAATTTACATGGAATCCAAATGAAGTGTTCAGACATTTCAAACATCTCTTGCTTAATGAGGTTCTGTGCCTGGCTAGCAGGTCAGCAGTCTGATTTCAGTTTACAGATGCAGTCTTAAAAAAGGACCCTGAGATCATCTATAACACTTCCCTGTCTTCCTTTGCTCCAGCTGCATTCATCAGCTTCCATCAGGGTTCACAGCAATGAAATTAATTGACAAGAAGCTCAATCTTAAGAGCACTCTGAACTGTATACTCTTGCCATCCACCCGCTAACTCCAATCCTACATGAATGAATGCAAGTGTAGTTTTTTGAGAAGGGGCCATGGCTCAAGCAGTGCCATATATGTGCCTTCTATACAACTGGCTTGGTATCTGGTAAAATTTCCATTGCCCAGTTACAAACTAGCCAGTCCCTTGCAGACCTAGGATCCTCTTAGAATGCCCTATCAGGAAGTTCTTTGCAAGATGTTTTAACTGAGCAATGAATTTATAGAGGAGGACTTGAATAAATTGTTTCAAAAATGAAACCATTTGAACACAAATCATGTCTTTCACTAAGACCCAGACAAACTAACTCATATGTACTCCACACATCTCAGTGTAGTAAGCAGATGGAAAATATTCATTGTTTTTTTTTTTTACCAATGAGACACTAGTAACAAAGAGAAAGTGTAGAAATTCTTCAAGATCCCTAGAGGCTGGGCAATCATATTTCTAGCAAAACTCTTGACTTTCTTCCTGTTCTCAACCTCTGCCATTAAAATAAGGAAATAGTGCTATCAAAGTAAAAGAGAAGCATCTGTTGGAGGGGTTCAAGGGGGTTGAGTCTTTAGGCATCAAAGCTAGGAGTTGGCTGGGCGTGGTTGTTCATGCCTGTAATCCCAGCACTTTGGAAGGCCAAGTCAGGCAGATCACCTGAGGTCAGGAGTTCAAGACCAGCCTGGCCAAAATGGTGAAACCCTGTCTCTACTAAAAATACAAAAATTAGTCAGGCATGGTGGTACATGCCTGTAGTCCCAGCTACTCGGTACACTGAGGCAGGAGAATCACTTGAACCTGGGAAGTGGAGTTGCAGTGAGCCAAGATTGTGCCACTGCACTCCAGCCTGGGCTACTGAGTGAGACTCCATCTCAAAAAAAAAAAAAAAAAAAGAAGAAGAAAAAAAAAAAGCTGGGAGTTTCATTATTCCTCAAAGAAGGCACCTCAGACCAGGTTCCATAGGGCACGCCCCTAAAGAGCCCAACCTTCTCAGGGTTCTAAAATGTATCTTAAGCCCAAGCAAAATCCTTGACTTTCCATTTAGATGCCAATATGCCATCCTCATAATATTCATTCTCATGGAATTTTGAGTTCCCACACTCTTACATAGCTCCCAAAGCCAACTTATTTTACTGCTGAAAAATACTTCAGTACACTTTTATTGCTGACACTGGTTTCTCTATACTTCCCCCAGAGATATTCATGTTATAAGTAAATCTTTTTCCAAGGTGTGCTTCATCTCCTGGCTGGAAGCAAGAAAAAAAATGTTCAAAGTATTGTAGCACTTTTTACAGAGTGTGTATCATGAAATCAATAATCATTTATTGAGTACTGACTATTCACTGTGGGGCCAGATATTGAGAATATTGGAGAGCAATTAGATGTGGTCTCTGACTCCAGGGGTCTACAAACGGCATGGTGGGGAACAAGCTCATTAGATGAGGAGAAAAAATAATAATATAAGTGAGTATAAACTCAAGAACTATAATTATGCATTGATTAATGAAACAAATACTGAAGATTTACTTTTTAAAAAGCGTTGTGCTCAAGGCTATGGCAGATGTAAGTTTATAATATGACCACTTACATTAATTTGCTAGGTTTGCCCTGACAAATTGTGAAAAACTGTGGCTGAAAACATTGGAAAATCAGTTTCTCCCAGTTCGGGAGAATAGAAGGCCAAAATCAAGGTGCTGACAGTGCTATGCTACCTCTGAAGGCTCTAGGGGAGAATTCTTCCTTGCCTTTTCCTAGCTTCTGGTGGCGGCCATCAATTCTGGGCTTTCCTTGGCTTTTAGCAGCGTCACTCCAGTCCCTGTTTCTGTGGTTGCAAGGCCTTCTTCCCTGTGCATATGTGTGTGTGAGTGCATGTGTGCATGTGCACCTGTGTGTGCTCCTGTCTTTACGTGACCTGATACGAACACTAGTCTTTTATTTGGAACCCACCCTAATCCAATATGACCTCATTTAAACTAATTGTATCTACAACGATTCTATTTGCAAGTAATATCACATTCTGAGGTTCCAGGGGGACATTGTTCAACCCAGCACAACCCTTAAATATCCTATTGTCTTGTTGGAGGTTATTTTATGGGATTCATTTTTGGTGTTCCATGGCTTTTCAGAGGAGGCTCAGTGTCCACTGATAGTCTCTGGGAAGACTACGTAGGCATAGGTCCGACCATTGCTATATTTTCTTATATCTATGAAATCCTAAGTTAACATTTTAAACTACAGTCTACTGTGTGTCAAGTGTTGTCCTAGGCTCTTATTTACTTAATTCAATCTTATCCTCACAACAGCCTTTGCAGTATGATTTTTTCCATTGTATAGATGGGAAACTAGTTCAGAAAGTTTACTTACTTACATGAGACTTATAAGCTAGGCGCTGGGATGCTAAACAAATTAGTTCCAAAGTCTACTATTCAGGCTGAACTTATGCATTTCTGGTGGTGAAAGCACAGCCTACATAACCATTAGTTTGTGATTTAGACCTTAGCCCAAACATTCGTCATTATCATATTTGAAGCCAGGATGGACCCATTGTTCCAGATCTATATACTGTATATCAGTTAGCCATATCAATTAATAATCTTTTGATACTTGTCAAAGAGCAGAGAACCGCAGAAATTAAGAGTTTATTCTCTTCATTAAACCATTAAAGATTGGAGGTGGCTATTGTGAATTGGGCATGAATTATAGCATAAGCCTATATATGTTGCATATAGCCCCCCGTAACAAGCCTCCTTGTTGTCTTTTGTGTTCCTAACTTATGAGCAGGGCAGAGATTATCACTGAACACATTGCAGGGTAAATGTAGGACTCTGAGTCACCCATTGGATTTTTACAGGCTGAAACATTTACAGTGTCCTGCTTACAATTCTCAAGCATCAGTTAGGTGCAGGAACACACAGGCAGAGTCAGTAGCTGCCCAGGGAACTAGTGTCCAGTCTAATCTCTTCACAAACTTTGTGCGTGATTCAGGAAGGATTATTACAGGCCAAATTTTACCCATGGACCTGTTTTGTTTAGTAAAATATTTTCAAAAATAAATTTTGGATTTGAATGACTTTAGGGAAGGCAGGAATGATCTAGGCTCTCACAAGCCTTAGTCATTACCCCTGGCCTGAATTACATATTTATGTGAGCCCTCTAGTCCCTGGAAGCAGTTCTGTTTGTCACCCTGTACTTAGAAAAGTGGAAATTAATGTATGGTTCCTGGACAGGCAGCACCAGCATCACCAGGGAACTTTTTAGAAGTGCAAATCCTCTAGTCCCACACCAGACTTACTGACTCAGAAACTCTGACGTGGGGCCTGTAATCTGTGTTTTAACAAGCCTTCTGGTTGATTCTGATGTGCATTGTCCTAGGAGAACCACTGACTTAGAGATAAGTTAAGAAACTCTTCCTTTCTTGAAGAATAGCGTCTTCTGCTTTCTAATAATGAACTTTTCTGTAATGCCTCAAGATCTACAAAGATGTCTTATTTTGCTTCCAGAGTCACGTGAGAAAACAGTAACAATTTGAGGGAGGTGTTGCTCTTTCAGCTTTATCCAGAGATGTGCGGTGGCTTGTTCCAGGTGTTATATGACAGGACAATGGACCTCAAACTCAAGATTCTTTTTCCTCTACACTTCACTACTTTAACTCTCCTGATTATTTTGTGGACTGATGAATAAGTACGTGTAAACTGATTTTAGTTTTCCTGGTAATGAAAAAAAAAAAAAACAATGAGTATTGTTACTCTTGTAATAATCACATCATTTTTTGTCTTTCTTTCTTTTTCTCATTTTATTTTTAGACAGGGTCTTGCTCTGTCACCCAGGCTGGAGTGCAGTGGCATGATCACAGCTCACTGAAGCTTCGAATTCCCGGGTTTAAGCAGTCCTCCCACCTCAGCTTACCAAGGAGCTAGGACTACAGGCATGTGCTGCAACACCTGGCTATTTTAATTTTTTATTTTATTTTTTTTTATTTTTGTAGAGACAGGGTCTCCCTGTGTTGCTCAGGCTGGCCTAGAACTCCCTGGGCTCAAGTGATCCTCCCACCTTGGCCTCCCAAAGTGCTGGGATTACAGGCGTGAGCCACTTCACCCAGCCTTTTTTTCTGTGTCTAAAATTCAGTTACTCTCTCATTCACTTAACAGTTTAGAAAATACTAACTATACAACATGTACTACGCTAGATGATTTTTTAACTTAAAAATGTGCAATGCACATGCATATTCATAATAAAAATCCATCTTTCTAACTCCTGAGAGGTAAGCAAAAACTTATTTTACTGCTGTAAAAATCACATAATTGGGGACAAAAACTTGCATGTAATATATTTTCTATGAGACTGTATTGACTTTGAGAGTGGTTAGAGTTAATGGTTTGAATTAGCATAAGTAAAATTAATGATATTGTAGGTCTTAAATGTAAATGCAATTTTACACCAGGCCCAGAAGAAATTCCCCTCACCTACCTTAATTGGTCAGATGAAAATATTTGGAAGAAATACCTCATTCAATTTTTTAAAAGCATATTGGCTACTTGCCACCATTGAAGAATTAGATCTCAAACTAAAGGGATTGTCGGGATGGGCTTAAACAGCCTTTTGATTTGTTCATTAATTCATCAATTCAACCTCTCACAAAACAATTGTATGTTGAATGACTGCTAGGTGCTGTGTGCTATGCTAGGTGCTGCTGATACAGTTATGAGCAAGACAGACTCAGAATCTTATAAATCTTTTTGTACAAAAGACAAACAATTATTTCAGTGAGTTGATTAAATTTAATATTAATATTTAATAAAGCAGAAGTAATTATACCTGCAAAGGAAAAATAAAGTGTGTTTTTAGCACCTATAATTTGAGGACTGTGGGATGGTAGGGTTATCTGAAAAGAGATAAATAATTTGTTGTATATTTGTTTCTTTTGGGGGGTGAATGCCATGTGCCATGATGTGGGAATTAATTGGAAAACCATAGGCTATGGGAGTCAGAAGAGACATTAGAGGCTCTAATATCTGTCCCACTTTTCTCTAATTTAGAAATCTGGAGGCTGGGACCCAGAAAAGGTAAAATGAATTACCCCAAAGCCACACTTAGTGAATGAAAGATGTGTGAACGGACATATGCATGGGCCTCCTTAATCCTATGCTAGGGATGAGGACATGCCTTTCCCAAAAATAGGTGAAATTACCATATGATAAAGAACATTTTTAGATATTGGGAGTAGGGTAGGGTACAAGGCTTTGGAACAGCAAAGTTAATCAGCTCAGTAGGGGGAAGGAAAAAGGAAGAGAGAAAGAGCAGGACCTCCAGTGGAACAAGAGTCTGTGGACTCTGTCACCCTGTTACTCCCTCTTAATCACTCAGATGATTTGCTTTTTCTGCTTCTATTTCAAAATAAGCTGCTAAAACTGAGATGCAGTGCAGTGAAAGCACATCATGATCTATGTTCTCATTTTTGCATGGAGGGAGTGAGTAAAGACCTCCTACTTAGGTAGTCATCTTGCTGTCCCTGCATGTAGACTAAGGCTGTGAGAGAGAACTTGGTGCTTTATAAGGCATTCCCTGTGCTGGTATAAATTTGACCCTTGCATGTGAGTGATGGTGAGGGACATCTCTGAGAATTGTTCCTGGTACAACATGTGTGGATTTCAACATGGGTACTGCATGCTGGAGAGATCTTGATATGACCCAAAAGCAAGACCAGAGGCAAGCTTGACACGATGGAGCAAAGGGTGGAAAGGTAGAAAATAGAATGAAAAATTTTTCTTTGCTGTCACCTCCTCGATTTTATTCAAATCTTAACCCAAACAACTAGATTGCATTACTGGGCTCTTAAAAGTTTTGTTGGAAAAGTGCTGCTAAAGAATAGGAAGACAATCTAGGCAATGCCATTCAGGCCATAGGCACGGACAAAGAGTTCATGAGGCAGACACCAAAAGCGATTACAACAGCAGCAAACACTGACAAATGAGATCTAATTAAACTAAAGAGCTTTTGCACAGCAAAAGAAACTATCAACAGAGTAAAGAGACAACCTACACAACGGGAGAGAATGTTTGCACACTGAGCATCCAACAAACGTCTAACACCCAGCCTCTATAAGGAACTTCAACAAATTTACAAGAGTAGGATCTCATAGGTTTATTTACAATAATAATTCAAATGTTTCAGATTTGTAATTGTCCTTTGAAACCATTGCTTTCCTTTAATTCCAGCTATACCAAAGACTCTTTGGAATGGGTAAATTATTTCTACTTGATAGACTAGGAAAGTGAGTCACAAAAAGGCTCGCCCAGAGCTACTGGTTATTAGTTGTGTGTTTTTCTCTCCTATTCCACACTCGAGAAAACCCCGAAGAATAGGGGGTGGTTAATGGTAAAAAGAAATCTAGAAGAAGAGTTCTGGAAATGAAAGACAGCTAGGTTTTGAGTTTCTCTAAGAAAAGGTAGGGGGCAATGGATTTAAACTAGGGGCATACACTGCGATTAAATATCGAAAGAAACACACTGAGATTTAAAAATGTATAAAGGGCTTATGGGAACGAAGAACTAAAAAGAAAATATGAGGCAAGAACATAGGGTGGCGACAGAACAAGGCTGTGAGACGTGTGCTTGGTTTGTTTAGGCTTTAAAACTTGTCAAAGTTTACCGTTTTCTCTTTCAAGAGGGATGAAAGAAAGGATGGTGCTTCCCTTAGTTTGTTTGCTTTCTTCTTTCATGTATCTGCCCTGGCAGATATGCATACATGTGCAGGCCCGTGTGTTCGTGCACACATATGCACACAGATAAAGTGGGAACAGAGAGAAGCCAGTGGGTGGTGGTGAGAGATGGGGGCAGAATTGATGCATCAGGGGGCCTAAATCCATGCAATGATCAAGTTCATAGCAATTTCCCCAGGAGACTGTATCATATTCCAGTGAAGGGGAGTACGGCAGGAGGTTGCCATGGCAACAAAAGGCCTGAAATATTAACTCTGACTAGCAACAGGCCAGTGAAACAGCCTAGCTAGGATTTATGGCACATTATAGTGTGAAAAGCAGGAGAAAATTACTGTAAAGGCAGGAATTATAGCACAACAGAACATATAAACTCCCAAATCCGTCTTCCTAATTAAAACAGCATGCTCGGAGGTAGAGCACATAGTAAGGCCATTAGCTTAAATGGGGATGTGCTATCATCGCTTTGTTATCAAGTTTAATGTCCTTAAGACTAACTGTGTGCACTGGGAGAGTGAGAGCAAGGGTAAGATAGTCTGGAGACAGATGGAAGCAAGACTCTTGGGCACTTGAATTCTTCTCAAACTCATTCTTGGTGACATAAGGTTTCTTCAGATACTAGTCTCTGATCCCACAGGAGATTCTAGAAGATGCCTTGATCCTTCTATTTGTAAATAAATCATCACTTCTCAGGCATGAAGGCTGAGAGACTGATACCACAGTCAATCCCTCTGGAACCCACCAGGAAGAGAGGAGCAACTAATCAATGAGGTTTATTGTTGAGGAAAAAGGATCTTGGATCTCCCGACTCCCTAGAGGGGAAAATAACTCCCTTGTTGTCACAGACCCAAACTTTCTTTTATGTCTTAGTCAACAGCCTGCCCCTAAGTGTTTGAATTTGCAATGCCTGGAGGAAGTCTTCCATGTAATTCATACTTTATGAGGGAACCTTTGTCTTCTTGTGATTCTTATTAGAAACTCCCAATTTCTCGAACTCTAATCCAGGACCTTAGTACTCAGTCTGGAGATGGGTCAGGGAAAATGAGAAAACCATTATTTTACAAGGGTTCATTGTTCATCCTTTATTCTGCCAGCCATTCAACAAGTATTTAATGAATACCTTCTACATTCTAGTAAATGCTGGGAACATGTCCATGAACATTAAACAAACGCACAAATAATTACTTAATAAACAGTTAAATATACAAAAGAAAGTACAGAATGTTTTGAAAATTATGAAAATTCTTCCCATAGCACTATCTTTATTTCCCTATCACCATAGTTGCCAAAGTGCCCCCACCTGACATTCTTTTAGGTTTGCCAGATGACCAAGCCCTACATTCCCACAGCTATGTCAGCAACATACTCAAGATCATCCTTTAGACATTGCATTCCCCTCCCCTCCCCTCCCATCCTCTCCCCTCCTCTCCCCTCTTCTCCCCTCCTCTCCTCTCCTCTCCTCCTCTCTTTCTTGAGACAGGGTCTTGCTCTGTCACCCAGGCTGCAGTACAGTGATTCAATCCTGGCTCACTCCAACTTCTGCCTCCTGGGCTCAGATCCTTCCACCTCAGCCTCCTGAGTAGCTGGGATCACAGTTGCATGCCACAGTGCCTGGCTAATTTTTTTTTCTCTTTTGTAGAGATGGGGTTTCACCATGTTGCCCAGCTGGTCTAGATCTCCTAGGCTCAAGCAATTCACCCTCCTCGGCCTCTTAAAGTGCTGGGATTACAGGCATCAGCCACTACTTCTGGCCTGTGTTTTTCTTTTTTAAAGATAAGACCTAAAGAGGATTTTGACTATTTTGAAAATATATTCATATCTGTGTATTTTTGGTTATTCACTTCCAGGTCCTAAAGTTGCAATTAAGGAGAAAAAAATCATTGATTATTCTTAGTAGTTTTGATGAGGTAATGCAAGGTTTTTCTGTAGCAAAGTCAGCATGCGTCGTGAATATGGTTAAGCTATGTATGATTAAAGGATTATTTATGTTTTATTTATAAGTATTTGCTATCAATAACAGCTCCCAAAAGTAAGATTCACCAGTATTACTACAGCATATGGGACTTTTGCTGTAGATTAATAATGCCATGATATTTTCTTTAATGAAGGTGGAAATGATTGCTTTATTTTAACAAAGGGACCTCTATGGTCCCCCTGAGTTTGAGCCTTGAATGTAGACGATCAGGGATGCTATATCACAGCTGTCTCCCTGCTGATAATGACTCTCCTTGGGGTTTCATAATTTCTGCCTGAAATCCTTTGGTTTCCTCTCAGGAGGCATGGAGTGAATTTATAGGGAGATTCTTCAATCCAGACACAAAAAAAGGTTTTAAAATTTTTTGTGTGTCTCCATATTTGACTTTCTGTCTCCCATTCTCATTTCCTTTACTTTCATGTGTGTGTTTTCTTCTTACTGTGCCAAACACATAATAAATGCTCAGTATTTGAGATTAATAGATATAATCATTATTATTTTGTGTTATTCTTTCTACTCCTCCCTTATAAAAAAAGGGATTCCTCCCTTCATCATGCTTCCCATGCCTTCATATACTTCTTATTGGTTTGCAGAACAGGCATAGTTATGATGGAGAAAGTAAAGAATAATGATTAAAAAGAATAATAACAAACCACATAACTAACTGTTTGGGTTTAAATGACAGAACTCTCAAATCCATCTTCCTAATTAAAACAGCATGCTCAGGGATAGAGCACATAGTAAGGCTTTTAGCTTAAATGGGGATGTGCTATCAGTGCTTTGATATCAAGTTTAATGTCCTTAAGATTAGCTGTATGTGCCTTGGGAGAGTGAGATCAAGGGTAAGATAGTCTGGAGACAGATGGAAGCAAGATTCTTGGGCAGTTGAATCCTTCTCAAACTCATTCTTGGTGAGTACTGTCACTTTCTAGGTGTGCCTTAGGCAAGTTATTTAACTGCTTCGTGCCCCAGAGAGTGGTGGGGGAATCAAGGGTAGGACACATGTGAGTCACTCAGAACAGTGCCTAGTCTTTAGTGAATGGAACTTCGGGTGTTCATTATTGTTGATATTGCAGGTGTAAAGAATTTGATTCACACACTCCTATCATGGATTGGAGGGAAGTTGAATATTGGTTCATATCTTGTTTTAGGTTCTGGTTTACTTGCTGCCTGAACTAGGAATATAATTCGGGATTTGCAGCTAGTAAGTTGAAATTAAGAAGAACTCAGGCCTTTAGATTAATCAAGTACATATACAGTATTGAAATTATGTCTTTTTATCAGTATCTTTCCAGAGGCCCAGTTAGGGGAGCTCCTGGCATGTGCCCGGCATGTAAGGAGTGTCCACAAGTGTTTGCAGACCTGCACTGAACACTATTTCTCTTTTGATATGATGCAGTTTAACATACTCAAAAGAGTTGAGCCTTATCCCCTTTGCTCCTCAAAACCAAACACAGCCAGTTTTGGATTAACTTTTATTCAGTCATGTTTTATGCTGTAGGGTCCAACCTAAATTTTCTAGGACGCAGCCCAACTAACTGAATTCTTTATGTCACTTGAAGGATAACGTCACTACAGTTAATTTTGATAATAACATGGTTTGAAGGATTCCTAACTGCTTGCAATTTATGTAATATTCTCAGTGCTCTGTGAATTTGTAGTCTGATGAAAACACTGAAAAGGGAGGTAATGTTTACTATTTCTGATTATTATTCTGTATCCCTCATGCAGACCTAACCTCAAGCATTTGCAGCCACCCAATGACTTTTTTTGAAGGAATTTTTACTAGTGGGTTCATCTGGGGCAGATGAAAATGTTTGCATTTTAGACACTCCAAATACAGATATAAAAACTTTATGTCTCCTCCTCCAGCTCTACCTTCAACTTTCTTTTCACTTTCTTTCCTACTAAGAGCACATATTTCCAGGCTCATTCTTCATCCCTAAACTCTGTCCCTCTCCTTACTCCTTTGTTCCGTCTTTTGTCCTCTCCCTGGAATTTCTGGTCATTTGCATTAACTACACTTATAAGTCAAACTTTCTTTGTTCCTTTGTGGGTGTACTCAGAACATCATTACATTCAAGTAAATTCATGTGTTTTTTTTCTTTTTTTGCCCTTTTATTTAAAAGCACTCCTACTGGCCATTAGAATAGTTACCAGAAATCTCCTTTGGTCTATGGATAAGAAATTCTGCAGAACTTTTCAACCAAGTAATTAGATCATATTATGTCTAAACTGGTGCCTTTTTCTCAACTGAATCCAAGTAGGAGTATAGACTGTTAACACCTTCAACTGAGTAAACTGCAATCTTTGCAAAGTGAATTAATATATGAATGCTTGCTAAGGCAAGATAACACATTTTTCAATTAACAAAGTAACAGGAGCTCAGGGTAGCATGTGATATATATATATATTCTGCTACATACATATGCAGGTATATTTTTCAATCAACAAAACAGGAGCTCAGGGTAGCAGACTACAGATATACATGTGTGTATATGTGTATATATATATGTAGCATACTACATATGTATACATGTGCACATGTACATATTTATCTGTGTATATGTATACATTATGTATATACATATATAGGTATATGTATACATATATGCATATGTAGGTATATGTATACATATACATATATAGGAATCCTATATATGTAGTCTGCTACACATATATATTCACATATATATACATGTATATATGTAGTCTGTTGTCCTGAGCTCCTGTTGTTTGTCAATTGAAAAATGTGTTACCCTGTCTTAGCAAGTGTGTGTGTGTGTGTGTGTCTATATATATATATATATATATATATATCCTCAAAATTTTACCTAGAGTAAAAAAATGAAATGCCTACATTACATAAAGACCCATATGACAATATTAATTCTGTGAGCTGAGACATATTCATGCCAATTCTCCATACCTTCTCCCCCATTGCCCATTCTCCAGCCCTTTGTTGTTCACTGGTCCTAACTCTGCTTTCTTACTACAATGGCCCACTTACTGCATCCTTAGTTTTTGACATTTTGAAATCACAAGGTTCTCATATTAAGCATGGACATTTTCTTTACTTTTTTATTAATTACAACCACAGAACTTCTCTCGTCCCACTCCTTCTTGTTTTGTCTTTGGGTAAAAGGAATAAATTATATATTTATCATAAATTTTAACTCTACAAAATGGCCATATTTATACTTTCTTCAGATTTCTCTCAGTTCTAGTTAAGGTTTTTTTTTGGCTTCCATTTGCCCCTTATTTGATTATTATACTCCAAGTGGCTGAAGAAAAAATACATTCAATATAATCTGTCTGTAATTTTCATGTCTTCCTCATTACCGTAAAATATAATGCTTATTTGAGACACACACACACGCACACACACACGTGCATACTCTTGGCCTAGATCAACCACACAGATTCATTTATTTTACCTTCTCATTAATTAGACCCTCAAGCCTCTTAATGTTGTTTTAACACTAATTTGTTGAGTTCTTTCTGGCACCAAACTACCCCAAACTCCATGAAGAACTGAATCATCAATGTATTATTTATAGGGGCTTCTTTCGTGTGTTCGTTTAAAATGTAGTTATCTAATTAATTTATTAATTTATATTGTCAATAACTATTCCCAGAAGGTTTTTTTTTTTTCAGATCTACTAGAGAACTTAAAGCTTTTTCTTTTCCAGGAATGGCCAAAATATCCAGAAGGACAATATCAAGTAATAATTAAAGTTATAAGCTCTTGGTTTGAATTCTTGCTCCACTAGTTATGTGACCTTGAGCAAATTACTTAACTTCTCTGTGCCTTACTTTTGCCATTTGTGAAGTGGAAACTAAATAGCCTTTATGTCCCAGTAACAATGCAAAGTTTATTCATTGCCGATTAGAAGGGGCACACTGTTCAAGATGCTCATTAATTCATTCACTCATTTTATGTAATGACTCATTTATCAATCCTTTGTTGAGTCTCAACCACTGTCCTAGGTAATGCTGATACAATCTTATGTTTTGAAGCTCGCCACAAAATTTGATCACCACTAGAGCCAAGATTTAACACATTATTTCATTTAATAGCTATTTTGAGTCTTCAGGGTACAATTTACAGTTTTGGGGGGGAAGATGTAGGGAAATATGACTCGTCAGACTCAATTAAGTGCATTTACTCAGGGCTACCCATCTATTAAGTGGCATGGTTCTCTAACCCCATAGTTCATTCTCTTTTTCTGTGCACCACTAGTAGGTTTTGCATAAGGTAATTTTGTCCAAGTGGTTACTGTGTGGGTCCTGTTCACAATCTTGATCATGATTGTATTCCAACTTCTATGTCAGAGTTTGCAAGCATGTGGCTTATAAACTCAAGATGGCTGGTACAATGTTGTTCAATATTTAATGGAGGGGTATTACCAAGATCTAGTTTTCTAGGTTTTCTTGAGAAATTAGAAAATCTGGCAACACTAAGTTTGTAATAATACCAGGGACAACTAGCCAAACTGCCCTATTTTGTTGAATCATGTGCTGTCTAAGTCCTCACAGTCCTTGCCACCCCCAACCCTGCAATCATCCTACATGTAGTGTTTCTATTTATCATTGTATTTTTGCTTTTATATCTCTTACATCTTGTCACATTGTATAGCCTGTCTAGCATTTGAATTTTTGACTCCTGTTTTAAGCTAGAGATATGCTTGTCACTGAACACGACTTGAATAAGGAAATGAGTAATAATTATGACTCTACATGCCCTTTATAGTACACAAAGAACTTTTTAAACAACCATGTTATACTGCTACTTTGATTTTACAGTAGTTTGCTCCAAATGAGTCAAATGGTATGTAGTAGAGTCATAATTAGAATCCAGAACAATTGGTGTAAGTCTAGTGCTTTTCTCATTTATCTGTCATTCATTCATTTATTGACATATTTATTCAACAAGTAAACAATTATAAGTAAATGTCAAATATATTCTAGACCGTATAGTGGATGCTAGAGATATAGATGTGACTAAGATACAGTCCCAGGCTTTAAGAAGCTCATAGTCTATTTAGGAATGACAGATAAACGGATTTTTCTGAGTGCATTGTGATGTGAACTGAGAAATACACAGGGTATGTACAAGGTGCCATGTTAACATCAAATGGCATGTGATTGATTTTATCTGTGACTCAGACATACCTCTGCCACTGTAGGGAGTAGTATAATTGACATGGGATCCTGGCCAGTCTCCTTATGGTGATGGTGGTTAATCTACATGTCCCTGAGTATCATGGTCTTTACAGAAGCAGGAGAGTGAAATGTAAAAAGTGCTGGAATGGAAATCAGGGCACCAAGTATATATGGTCCTGGCTCTGACATTTGCTTGCTCCTTGACGTTAGAAAAATCGTTGAATTTATGTGTGCCTAAATATCTTCACCAAAAAATAAGGAGGCATAAGAGGGGAGATACCAGATCTTACAAAATAAGTAGGTTTTATTTACAAATACTTATGGATTAGTGGGGGCCCTTTCACTAGGCTACAAAGAATTTGAGGCTCTATCTATGCTTAGTTTTAAAGAATGCTATGGTCAAAGAAGCTATGTTTGTCATAGGCACTAGAGGAAGGGATAGAAAGATTCTGAGATCTAGGGGCAAAAGGGATTTTGAGAGTGCAAGTGAATTAAAAAGCTAGGATCAGCTGGCTCAGTGGCTCACGCCTGTAATCCCAGCACTTTGGGAGGCTGAGGTGGGTGGATCATTTGAGTTCAGGAGTTTGAGACCAGCCTGGCCAACATGATGAAACCCCATCTACTAAAAAAAAAATACAAAAAAGTAGCCAGGGGTGGTGACCTGTAATCCCAATCCCAGCTACTAGGGAGGCTAAGGCAATAGAATCGCTTGAACCCAGGTGGCGGAGGTTGTAATGAGCCGAGATCACACCACTGCACTCCAGCCTGGGTGACAGAGCAAGACTCTGTCTCAAAAAAAAAAAAAAAAAAAAAAAAAGGCTGAGATCAAGTTTCTGCTGCAAGGACATTTTCATTAGTTAAAATAAGAAGGGGCTAATACCAATAAAATGCATAGCAAGTTGACTATTCAAACCAAAAGGCCTCCAGTTGAAGTTGTGTTTTAATTTAAGCACTAGTAGGGCCCAGCAAATCAAATATTGAAAGATGCTAAAATTAGTCTGATTACTTTGTGAGTCATCAAATTGATTTGACTGTCCTTGCCCTTCATATAATGTCCCAATAGACACTTAACCTGACTCTACTTCCTTGAATTTGGCAAAGTAAGCACGATCATTGGAGTTACTGCTTTTGGGATTATTTATTTATCACATCACCTCTGCCATCATTACTTCCCACTCGTCTTTGTTTGGCTTACTTTCTACTGTGCTTCTCTCTATCAAATCTTTGCACCTCCTTAGGAAGATCTGGAAGTCACCTCTCTGTAAATCTGAGAAGTTATTTTCATTGTTGTTGGATGATAATGCTTAAGCCAGTGTTGGAGGCTGCACAAGTAAATTACATGGTTTTAGAAGCACCTCCTCCTTCCATCTGTGCTGTTTGGTTGTATTCTTTATTGGATCTGGGATGATATGACTTCTTTGCCTGGGGCTGTTGCTGCCATTACGCAGTTTTGGATTCACTGTTGCTTCATACCAATGTTGGTGCTGTAAATGTACATGATAAGAGTTCCACAGTGAGATGGACTACAAGACTTCTGGACCCAGAGCCCCCTAAAACTAGATCCAAGACCAGATTATGCACTGCTACTGAGGTTGGCCTGCTATGGTACAGACTGCTCCTCCTTCCCCAAGGATACAGGCACTTTTACATAGAGGGTACAACAGATCTTGACCTGCAGGTGTTCAAAAATCGACTCATAACTTCCCTCCTCTTATATCTATCTTATCAGTAAACAAATATTAATAAGTCATAGGAATGAAACATGCGACTCTTTTTGGTTTTGTTGGAGTGATCATGCCAGAACTGGGACTTTCTAATCTTGAATTCAAATCATGAGAGTTAAGCCTGTCATGAACTGTGAGTGCAAGCTGACCCAGGAACCATGTGGTTCTCAAAAAAAAAAAAAAAAAAAAAAGCTTATGGCTCTTTTTGTGCCACAATGGCAGAATTGAGTCATTGCTACAGGCAGTGCATGGCCTGCAAAACCTGTGATATTATTCTCTGCTCTGATATTAACATAGCTGGAATGTGCCCCAAATGTATTTCAATCAAGAGCTTTCATGTATTTTTTGAAATAACCTGGATAAGAAAATCCAGATTTTAGACTCACCATTCTGCGGGGGAGTGGGGGCGGCAGGGGGTCATTGATCCTGTTTGTTTTCTCTCTTGCATGCTGTCCTTGGAGATCAGAGGATTGATGTTTGAGTAAGAAATGCAGAATAGGACCATATGTTAGGCAGGGTTATAGACAGTAAAGCAGGTCAGCATCCTATAACTTGATGACTCAATCATCCTAACATTATGCCATCTGGGCGCTGATACTGTTCAGCTCTCCCTTTTCTTATGAAAAGTTTGACTCAGGTCAAATAGGGTGTCTTTTTTTGTTTCCTTAGAATTTTGTTTTCTCTTCCTTTTAGGGATTAGTTCTTTTAGTCCCACCTTTGAGATAAATTTTATAATTTCAAATTTTGAATTCTGATCTAAACCCTCAACTGTTCTTTCTCCCACAGTAAAGAAGTTAAAGCAATCGTAGCAAAAAATGTAGAGAGTATTTCTTTCCCCATCCCCAACTTTACTGAGATATAATTGACGAATAATATCATATGTATTCAGGGAGTACAACATAATGTTTGATGTATATATACATTGTAAAATGATTACCACAATCAAGCTAATTAACATATCCATCACCTCACATAGCTACCGTGTGTGTGTGTTTGTGTGTGTTAAGAATATTTCAGGTTCACTCTTAGCACATTTTAAGTATACAATACATTATCATTAACTGTAGTCTCCATACTCTATATTAGGTCTCCAGAATGTATTCATCTTATAACCTAAGTTTGTACTATTTGACCCACACCTCCCCATTTCCCCTATTTCCTGACCCCTGGTAACCACACTTCTACTCTCTGTTTCTATACATTCAACTTTTTTAGATTCAATATATAAGTGAGATCATGCAGTATTTGTATTTCTGTTTCTAGATTATTTTACTCTGCATAATGTCCTCTAGGTTTATCCATGTTTTTGCAAATATCAGAATACCCTTCTTTGTCACAGGATGAATAATATTTCTATATATATGTGTGTTTATACATGCATACATATCTCTCTCACACATTTTCTTTGTCCATTCATCTGCACGGACACTCAGGTTGATATAATGTCTTGGCTTTTGTGAATAATGCTGCAATGAATGTAAGAGTGCAGATATCTATTCAAGGTACTGATTTCACATTTTTTGGATACATAATTGGTCCTCCATATCCATGGATTTTACATTTATGAATTCAACCAACTGTGGATCAAAAATATTTGAAAAAAATGTGTCTGTACTAAACATGTACAGTTTTTTTCTTGTCATTATTCCCTAAACGATACAGTGTAACAACTATTTACTTAGCATTTACATTGTATTAGGAACTTAAGTATCTTAAAGATGATTTAAAGTATATGGAAAGATATGCTTAGGTTTTATGCAAATCTGATGTCATTTCATGGGAGGGTCTTGAACATCTGAAGATTTTTGTGTCTGTGGGAGGTCCTGAAACCAACCCCTGTGGATACTGAAGGATAACTGTTACTCAAAAGAGGGATTGCTGGATCATATAAAGTTATTTTCTTAATGCATTCATGTATGCACTAGTGTGTGTATGCCTCTATACACCCATGCCTGTCACTCTATGACCTGTTGTCATATCTGTACATTCATGTAACAATCGCCATGTTTAAGAAATGTAGCATTGAGCCTATGTCTTAACTGATGTATCCTGTTTCAATCTATCTTGAAGTGGCCAATCACCCTATCCCCAAAGATACTGCTACTCAAAGCATGGTCCCTGAACCATCTAGGAACTTATTACAAATGCAGAACCAGAGAACTCATGCCTGATATACTGAATTGGAATCTGCATTTAACAGATTTCTTGGTGACTCATATACATGTTAAAGGTTGTGAACACTGTTCTAAGAAATGTCTTCACTTCTTATTCCTTTGGCTTGCAGTGATTAATTGGGTAGAGGAGGCAGCATATCAGAATCATTATGAAGCTTAAAATAAAGTGTGCCTGGGTTTTAGACCCAAGATTAAATCTGAAGCGAAACCAAATGTCTGTATTTTTTAATGATTCCAAAGGCAATCCTGATGTACCCAACACAGGGCAAGGGTATATATTGCAAGGAGTCACAGAATCTTTTTATTCTTTTCTTTTAAACCTCCTGGCAACCTTCTCTTTTGCTGCCTGGTCAACAAAGATTATCTAATGTGGTTGATCAGCTTTTCACTGTCCCGTTCATTCTTATGACAATTTGCCCTAACTATGCACAAACTGAGAACTCTTTTTAAGGGTAAATAAATGTTCTCATTCATCCTCACAATTGATTTAAAATATTGTAACATTTTCTAAATATGTACAAACAGAAAGCTATCTCATAGTTCTTGTATGACCAGAAAGTTATTGAAATTTTACAAATCAAATGCAAACAATACCATGTAAATGAAGAACATTAACGTGGCAGATGACATTTTCCTGAGAATAAAGCTCTACTTGCAACATAAATACAACACAATTGCTATATTTTAGGTTCTTTAGAATTTGGCACATTTTACTGCTGTATGCCTTGTGATTTCTCAGTTCTGTTATTATTTGTCTCTGTTTGAACCCATGCAAAACCTTCATCCACACAGCTTAGACTGTCATTCAGCCCTCTCTTTCTGCAAATAAATCTAATATATGTCTATAGTCAGCCCACTTTTCTTCTATGCAGATTTCATTAATGAAAGTAGTAATTCTTGTCAGTGTGATTGCAAGCACAAACTCAAAGATAACATTACATGGCAGTCCTTGGTTGGCAATTGAATGGTCAGTATTCAGTTGAAAGGTCATCAACCAGAAATATGGTTAGCCATTTTTTAGAAGAAAACAAATTAGAAAAAAGTATGGATAACAACTTTGGACACCAAAGAATATTTCTATAATATTTCCTGCTCAGTCTGTAGTGGAAGGCAGTAGAGAATAGAACTTACAAACATAGCCTTGGAGTGAGAAAGATCTGGAAACTATTTATGATAGTTCTACTTACTAGATGCATCTCTTGGAACAAGATTCTTCGCTTCTCTGTAACTTGGTTTCCTCGTGTGTATGATGGAGATGATTATTATCTATTTCATAGGCCAGGAATAGGTATGATATGCAAGAAGCACCTGTGGCCCTATCTTAGCACATCATAAGGACTAAGTTATCAGGAGCTATTTTAACTATTATAATGATGTTATCATTGTTGCATCTTTATTATAAATGTGAACATTAAGTTTTTATTAATTAAACCTGCCACATATTTCTTCCATTTGCTTCATTGTACTCTTAAGATGTTTATTCATTTTTCTCACTTCTTGCTTTAAGAACCTGGTTATTACAGAGGTGAAAAATCCCATCAAAATGCTAGAGAATTTGGCACAATTATTGCTTATATTTCTCCTATTGCTGCTTTTACTGCTGTAGCTGCCTCCTGAACTGCTGCTGCTGCTACCATGGCTTCTAGATGCTTCTTTGACAATTTATTTATTTTCCAGTGGAACCCATCTGTGAAGAAGCCCTTCATAGCAGTAATATCCTGGGGCTGGGCACTACTACAATAATGATGCTTTCGTTAATCACCCCATGTAATTTTAGTTTTTGCTGATAAATACTACAATAAATCGATTGAAACTGATGAAAATAGCTCAAAATTTAGAGACATACAGTATTTCATTTTACCATCAGCGTATTTCTATGTTTATGCAATAGGGATTGAAAAAGTTCAATCCCCATGCTCAAAAACACATACTTCCAGCTCTCTGAGATGATATGCCAGACAGGGCTTTTGATTAGAAGCCTTATTTTTTTGCCTAGTTCTAGCTTCTGTATGAGTGGAGACTTTATTAACAAAGGTAGGTTTGGAGCACTCAACAGAAGCGTAGAGAATATATGGAAAAAAAAAAAGAAGAAGAAAAAAGATAAAAGGGAACCAAACAAAACAGGTTTACAACTGTTTTACTAATAAGAGGGAAAAGTCTGCTCATGAGTTAAACCAAGACTAAAGATAAAGAAAGAAAGAACATCCAAAACCTTCATGTGCTTTGTATTTGTACATTTCTGACATATGCATGAAGCATGAGGGAAATACAGTAATACACTGAGGTATGCTGCCAACATCCTGACTATTCCTAGTCATTAGATAGCCTAGTGATGTTTTTCAGTTAGAGGGGTGCTGACCTTACTGTTTTCAGTAATTATAAGTCTATAATTACCTTTTATATTCTTTAAGTGTATTTTTGTAATTTCAGGTTAGGTATACAAGAGTGGAAACCGTGTTTGATCTGACGTTTTGGCTCTTGTATGAGGCAGCTTTAAATAGCTGTCAGATTTGGTTTCATTTTAGTGAAGGGTTAAGTAATTTTAAGGCGTTAAAACCATGGGCAATAAATAACCATCCACAGTCATCGAAGGAAGTTGCTTCTTAGACAAGAGAATGAAGCTAGAGCTGCTAGGGACATTAGTCTGATAAAAAGTCACATCAGAGAAGGTTTACCTCCAAATGATTTTGGTGGCAAAGAAGCCTGTGCATCAACACCTGCCCTTGAGCACAGCAGTCAATAAAAATAAGGTAACACAAAGCAGCTCTCTTGAAAACAAAATCAGAGCCTATACTCTTAAGAAGTTCATAGCCGTCACAAAAGGACCCTCGTGGCAGTAGAAGCTAAATGGCCAAGAATGCTGGAAATGGGGCTGCAAGTCATAAATGGAGAAAGTCTAAACTAAGAGGGTAAACAGCAGGTGACAGTAAATTGGAGCACTTGGCCAGGCAAGCCCTGCATCTGCCACAGTGAGATCAGTTACTGGAGAGTCATCCCAGGCCTATTTCACACTGCCGTCTGGGAATGTGGGACTCTAGGTTCTTAAGTGTTAACTATGGGCAAAAAAGAAACAAGAAGTATAAAGTCATTGAGAAGATTGTCTGCAGTAGGGCAGGCATGGATGAAAATCGAACTCTACTTTGTCTGTGGGTGAATTATTTACCTTCTATCTGTCCTGGGTCTGTAAAACAGTTATAAGAATAGACAGGGTTAATTTGTGAAACTTAGATGAATATGAAGTATGAGTAAAGTACCAGACATTTAGAAATGCTCATCAACATCTTGAAAGAAGTTCTTTCATTGAGATAAAAAGGGTCTTTGTATCTCTTTCTGTAATTCTTCTGAAAACAGATGGTCAGGGTAGAGAGCTGGTGCAATAGCTCAAATGGTAAATGACAGACATAAGATTCAAAAGAAGCTCAATAGGAAGAATGATCCTAAGACAAAATGGATGAATTGCAATAGGGTTACATAAACCATTTCCTTAGGTTTAGAAAAGTCGTTATTCCATTTCTAGGTAGGAGAGATTCCACTGAAATAATGTTTCTGTGCTAAAAATGCAAAAGCCAATTTATAACTTTTAAAATTATAAATTGAATAAGTGCAAAGAGTGTGATATGGCTGCTAGATATTGGTAGAAAACCATCCTTCTCATTTGTGCCCTTATTAGATGTCATCAAGAGTCTTGTGTGCCTCCTGCTGCCACATTTAAAGAGGGGAGAGAGAGAGAGAAAGGGAGGGGAGAGAAGGATGAAAGAGAGAGAGAAAGACAGAAAGTGAGGCATGTCCAGTATGGTGAAATCAGCTGTAATCAATTCCAGCTCAACCACTATGAGTCCTTGGACAAGTTACCTCATTGACAAAATGAGGATGGAAGCTCCCTCCCTGGCTTGACCTAAGGATTGGATTACATAATGCAAGTAAACAACTCTGCACAGTACCTGGCTCATAACTGGGAGCTCTGATTATTCACAGGAAAGAGTGGTGAGAGACAGCTATGAGATAAGGAGCTGCAGAAGCTCTCGGTGATCTGCCAATATAAGAGAAGCTTAAGGCAGGACATGACAACTGTCATCAATTATTTAGATACCTGTTATGTAGAGAAGCAATTCTCATTAATCAGCCTAACTCTAAAGGAAAGAACCAGGACCAGTAGATAGAAGTTATGGGAAGAGATATTTTGGCTCCATAACAGAAGTAATGAAAGCAGTAGTGGTGTAGTAGTAGGAACTGAGAATGCAAATAGCTCTTGGAGTGTTCCAGTTCCTGTTCTAAGGACTCTGCATTCTTATTTGATCCTCAGAACATCTATGTGAGGTAGGTATAATTATTATTATTTTCATTTTACAGATGAAGAAACTGAGGTACACAGTGAAGTAAATTTCCAAGAACATGTAAAATAGAAATGAATGACAGAGCTGGAATTTGAGCCCAGGCATTCTGTCTCTTAACCCATTTATGCTGGAGGTTGTGATTTTTTAAACTGATGTATGACAGAAAAATCAGACCTTGGCAAATATCTTGAGCAGTAGGCTATAAATAACTCCCACATGCTTAGTGTTCCAATAATGGAACACTAGGCATAAGTGGCTACACACATTATCTCAACTGCCCCAAAAAGTAGCTCAAATACACAGGGAAAGGCTGAGTGACTGTACACCATGGTTGCTAGTAAGGGGATTCCTGCACTGAGTTAGGAATTGGCCTGGATAATCTCTACGGTCCCTCCCATGACATGTCTGTCATTTTATAAAACCAAAAAGCAAGCAAAAAACACATGGTGGCAAAAGCTAATACAAAACCTAGAGTCAAACATTCATGAGGTTTTCTCAATGCAAAAGAAGCCTAAAATATTCACCTGTAATCTATTTATATCAACCTTATACTCAGTTATAAAAGGATGGCCATCTTATTGTCTTGTTCAAGGCAGAGCAGAAGAAATACATTTGAATCTGGGAGTGGTAGTAGAACTAATAGCAGCAAGGAGAGACTCATGAATCTTTAGGAGAAAAAGGAGGTGTTAACGCACTGAACAAATATTAACTGAGTGCCTCTTCTGGGCTGAGATAAGAAAATCATTGTGAAACCAAATAAGAACAAGCATTGCAGGCCCCAGATATTTAGAGACTCCAGTGACGTTTGGGCTTTTCCTGAACTTTAGTGTGCAATGTCATTTTAAAAAGTATTTTAGGGGAAATGATAAATTATAGCCAGTTTCATAAAAGAGGTATACATTATATTTTTAAAAGACTTTATATGAACTGAATCATTTGACTTTAAGTTTGGGTGTAAAAAGGGTATACTTCAATTTCTCTCAGGCCAGCTTGCTCCCCAGTAAATGACAAATATGGGTCTCGCCGCACTAAGATATTTTAATATACTTCAGTGGGAAAGGCTCTGATCCAGAAATTTGCAGTTGTGCTATTGATAAAATTTATGAGAAACTTTCTTCTGTGGGCCTCAGTTTTCACATCTATTAAATGTGCTGATTTAACTAAACTATCTTTATTTCCTTTAGGCTCAGACATTTCCTATTTCTTTTATTTCTATAACTGTACTTATTTTCATTATGTAGATACCAGATGGCAAAATGTCCTGGTAGTGTGTGCAGGACTCAAACTGATTCTGGGAAAATGGGGCACAAGTGAATTCTAAGGTATAAGGAGCTGAAGTGAGCAGAAGCCTCTAGAATCTATTTCTATTTCTGTCAGCTACAGAATGTAGGCCCAGTTTAATATTAGGAGACGTTGTCTAGCTTTTAATATTAGGTTTCAGAGTTGCCTAACAAAACCCATAGAGGTTGTTTCTTGCTTAGAGTAATTTAATGTTATAAGGATCAGGCAGGTGCAACATGGCATAAAAGTATTACTTGCCCCAATGCCACCTTTAATTTCTCTCAATCTTTCAAAGCATCAAAAGAAAAAAAAGTTCTCTCTTTGTCTATTGTTTATAAATATAATTTATTCTCTGTGCTTAGGTGATTTTCATAGATAAGAGGACATTCATTGTATTCAGTAAAACTTCTAGAGCAGTCCTTACACTAGTAACAAGTTTCCTGGGCAATACTGCTTTGTTATCAGACTTCACCATGTAGATCTCACATCCTTCTCTTTTCTGATCTTGCTCTTATCATTTCAAAGTTACATGTAGAGTGAGGATGCAGGTTTCATAGGGTTTTTGTTTTTATCTGAGACAGAGTCTTGCTTTGTCACCCAGGCTGGAATGCAGTAGTGTGAGCATGGCTCACTGTAGCCTCGACATTCTGGGCTCAAGTGATCTCCTGCCTCAGCCTCCCAAGTAGCTGGGACCACAGATACATGCCACCACCCCCAGCAATTTTTTTTTTGTCTTTTTTGTAGAGATGGAGGTCTCACCATGTTGCCTAGGCTGGGCTTGAACTCCTGGGCTCAAGCATTCCTCCCTCCTCAGCCTCCCAAAGTGTAGGATTACAGGCATGAGCCACCAGGCCCAGCCCATGGTGTTTTCTGACAAAGCTACTCCATTCATTTGCTGTTTGAAGTTGATTAGTGAACCACATTTTGATGTTCACTACCTTCATTTGCTTTTATATTCAACTGCATTCTTTAAGAATCTTCCCTCAGCAGTTAGAAGGCCAAAGATAATTTAAATGGGATTGAGGGATATTTCCCTCTCACATTAGTGCTGTAGAGCCACATAAGAAGGTATTCTATGGTAGAAATAGATTTAGAAAGGTCAAATTTGAAAAATAAAGTAAGTCCAGACCCGAGTGATAAGATGGATGGCTGTCTAGATTGAGCATGCAATTCTAATACTTCAGTTCCACATTCTTTTTTTTTTTTTTTTTTTTGAGACGGAATCTTGCTCTGTCACCCAGGCTGGAATGCAGTGGCACAATCTCGGCTCACTGCAACCTCCGCCTCCCAGGTTCAAGCAATTCTCCTGCCTCAGCCTCCCGAGTAGCTGGGACTACAGGCGCCCTCCACCATGCCCGGCTAATTTTTGTATTTTTAGTAGAGACGGGGTTTCACCATATTGGCCAGGCTGGTCTCGAACTCCTGATCTTGTGATCCACCCGCCTTGGCCTCTCAAAGTGCTGGGATTACAGGCATGGGTCACCGCGCCCGGCCTAGTCACACATTCTTAAAGATGTTTCAGCTTTTGATTTTTAAACAGAATGGTATGGAGAAGGGCTTTTGCTGGAGGTGCTTCAGTCAGTTAGCTTCAACTCTGAATGAACACCGAAGATGTCTTGGCTTTCCTAAAGACTCAGGCTACAGATTCTTGCTCATGGCCAGGGGTAAAATGCCCTTCATCCAATTTAATGCTCTCCCATGTGTAGCAAACATATCAACTACTCTGGGTTGGCATATGGGGGTTTTAGTAAAACTGTGTAAAGAATTTGCCATAGAAATAGGAATAGTCTTTCACTTTCCATTTTGTACTCTGGGTCTTCTCTGATTATATATCTCTTTTGGTTTTCCTTTCCAAGCTCCATCTTTATCCCAACCTATTGGGTATACATCTGATCACTGCTTTGCTAACACGATAATACTTGAGACTAATTAACAATACCTTAGTGATACTGCATTCTCAAATAGGAAAATTTCAAATGACTAGAAGAAGACTAGTTGATGCCTAGGACCAGTACTAGAATGGTTAAGTTACTGGTTGGAAACTTCAGTGTGCTTGTTTCTGCAGGAGGAGAACTGCTTTAATGTGAATTGCATTAGAAAGCTCCCCTCCACTTTTCCTTCCCCAGTGTTTGTCTACTGAATAGCAGGGTGAAAGCGTCGGTTGCTCTCATCGCCTCACAATCAGGCCAATTGGGCATAACTGCTTTCTGGTAGAATTCATCTCATAATAAATTGCATTCATGGAAGATGCCTAGTATGTGGTAAACATGGCATGGACAGGCCAATACTAGAGAAAGATAGAACACTGGCTCAGAGGAGACACAAACAAATTGCCTTTCTGCTGGCTCTGAAATATTCTTTTTCAGTGTAGTTAAATATAAAGTTGAAATGATGCTAACTACACCTTGATCCAAACAACCTCTTCATTGCTTGGCTTCTGATGGGAATGCTGTAGGTAGCCATTTGTTTTAATGATTGATTTCACTAATACTGAGTCACAATTGCACTCCTCTTGAAGTTGACATAAGATCTCCATGCACAGAAAATGAATTCATTAGAATCAAAGTGATTGTATAAGAAACTCAAATTATCCAGGTGTTGAAATGCATGTCTACTTTCTTTTCAGACAATGGAATCATTTATAAAACATATAGTTATTTAAAACACAGACACACATACAGAGACTATCATATGGGATTGTGAGAGATTGCTAATTAACACATACAAATTAAGACAAATATTCATTAAAACAAATATTAATTCCTCAAAGTTTAATTCTTAACAAATATTAATTCTACAAAGAGCTAAAAGGCTCTATGTAGGTAGATAACGGCATTCAGATTTACCTCCTAATCTTTACAGTAATTGGTTTTAAGGGTTGGAGAAAGAAGTAAAGGAGGTAAAAGAATGTACATAGACAATAATAATTATGAATAACATTTACTAAGCATCTACTATGTGTTAGGTACTTTGCTAACCAAGCTTAGCATTTCACATATATTATTTAAAATTCACATTAACTACCTGAATTACATTCAATTATTTTACTCTTCAGGGAGATTTGTATAAGTTGTGTAAGGTCTAAAACTGTTAACAGGAAAGCTGGGAGTTGAACTCAAGTTTCTCTAGTTCCTGAGCCAAGATCTTAGTTGCTAAGTTATTACCACATTCTCAGAGCCTCTGAAGCAATACCACTGAATTCAGGGCTTATGTTTATTCTAGCAGCATCTTTCTTTACAAAGGGGTATGTAAAAATAGTAGTCCTTCTAATTTCTCCTCCCTCCCCCCAATATTTCTGGGATTATGCAGGCGATACTTTGCTTTTGGAAAGAATGAAATATAGGCAATTGACAGAGGCAGGGTCCTGACTTTCTTTTTTAATTTTTTTTCCTTGATGATGAGCATAATCATGTGAATAATTAAGCTTCAAGAGCTAAATGACTGATTGGCAGCAAGCTGACTAACTGTTCTTTATTTATAAGGATATAGCTTTCATGGGAAAATGTAGGGTGGTTGGTAAAACATCAGAAGTCTCCCTTGAGATTTCATAAATGCCATAGCTTAGGGGTTAAACTCACAGACATTTAAGTCACATGTTCTTGAGTTCAAGTCCAAGTTGCTGGCCCTTTGGGACTTTTAACTCCCCTATGATCGATTGCTATAAATTAAAACTCAGTTAATAGAATATAATGTAAGTAGTTATATATCGGAACCAATGATAGTACCTACTTCTTAGGGTTGTCAAGAGCATCCAGAGAGCTAAGTTATACAAAGGACTAGCTCGATCACTGGCATGGGATAAATATTTGATAAATGTGGTTTGTAATATTTTATAAAAGTGACAAAAATTCTTATTTATGTACCTTTTTTACTATGAGGAGAATCAGGTTGGATTCTTAGAAAACCTTCAGTGCCTCTGTCACAGCCTTGCAAAGACTACTTGGGATATGTTTATGTTGATAATTTCTCCCCTTTTATTTTTCTATCAGTCAGATTTATAATAAGAATCAGCTGTTCTTTCTAAAAGACTATTGTGCCTTTATATTATTTTCTTTAATTTTCAATAATCCTATGAATTAGCAATTATTATCCTCATTTTTACAAATGAGGAAACTAGAGATCCGAAAAGTAAACAGCCTCCCAGCTAATAAACAGATGAGCTGCAATACCAACCGAGGTCTTCTGTCTCTCACAATCCAGTTCTAATATTAAAACAAAAGGCTTTGAGACCATATGACCCAAGGTGCAATCTGTTTTTCAGATCAGAAGATTGGGACTCTAAGATAGAAACACGGTCTGTCCAGAGTCACATAGCAAGTTGGAGACAGAATGGACACTAGACCCTAGGCCTCTATTTCTGGTCTAGAGCTCTTTCATCATTTCCAGGCTACTTGTTTGTTTGCAGCAATTTGTATGTTCTGTAGAGGAAGATTGAAAAGAGAAATGGATAGAAAGAGAGAGCAGAGATGAGGGGATGAGAGTCTGGAGAGAAGGGGAGAGAGAGAGAGAGAGAGAGAAATAGATTCATATATGAAGGTTAGATCAAGGGCCAGCATCCAAGGGTGGTCTAGGTAGAGTACTGGGAACCAATCTCAACCTGGCAGGAGAGGCATAATTAACCAGTGTCTACATCTGTGATATTATTTGTCCTTGCTCCAAAATGACAATAGTGATTACAGTAGATGCAGCTGACAGTAGCAGATGACACAACCTCCTTTCACCTCCTGGCCAGCTGCAGCGCTACCATCACCAGCTATAGCAGCTTTCTCCCTGGAGATTCAGCTTTTTCTCCACTGATGGAAGGCTTTCCCTCCATCACTCCAATGTCAGAGCTTGGCCGATTTGGTTCCTCAGGAGACTGTAGAGAAATTCACTCCCATTGAAGCATTTTCTTGACATTTTGACATTCAATCAGAGAAAGGCAAAAGGCAGGCTAAGGGCCCAATCATCAGGTCCATGAAGATCAAGCTATGTTTTCTGAGTACCTATTGATAGAATGTGCAGGAGATTATTACTGTTTGCCAAAGCTCTATTGATCTTGGCTTTGTGAAGCTCAAAGTCTGTTTACAGCCACCTATAAAAACCAACAGCCACTTCTTTTACTGAAGGTTAACGTGCTGTGTTTATTTAATTGAATGGAAATGGCCTTGTGTTTTCCAAATGTCATTGTTAATAAATTTTCAAGGGAATCTGTGACTAGTGTGTAGGTGTTGAGGATGGGAGAAGGGACTGTCATGGGGAGGGACGGCTGTTGGAATTTGAAGTTGCTGGAAGCAAGAGATAAAAGACAAACACATAGATACGACATTGGAATAATTTCCCTGTATAGAAGTGCTATAAAATATCCTTACTCTATATTAGTGTTGTTTTTTAAACTTGTCAGTAAGAATTCTCCCCTGGGTGTTTTATTCTTTAGCCTGCGTCTGTTTTTGTTTGTTCTTTTGGGTTTCCAAAAAATATATATTTTAAAGTGACATTGAGCATTTTAGTATAATTGTGAGTTTTGGGGTTGAATATTTTTCACTATTATTTGATCAGTTTTTTCCTTCTGTAAGAGATTTAACAGAAATGGCTAAAATTAGGAGCCATATTAGATAGAGGAAGATATTGGCAATCCTATTGACCTGCTTTTTAAGAGGCGTGTTTCAACTAACAGGAGGAGAGATGCAAAGAGCTTTCACCAAAGCAATCAGAAGACCTGTAAACAGCCTCAGGGAACTGTAAAAGTCTGTGAGGGTCTCTAGTGTACCAGATGAAAAGCAGAAACTTTAGGTAGCCGTCTGAATGTGTCAAATGGGAATATCAGAATAACTCACTAAATTTCCTTTTTCAACTTTCCTCGCAAGGTTTGTCTTTTTATGTGGTAAATGTTGGTGAGTTCCATTTTTAAGTTTTACTCTTCCCATTCTACTTCAGTCTCCTTAGCAAACACACACACAAACACACACACACACAAACACACACAACACACACAAAATTGTTCTTCTTGAAAGATACATGTAAATGAATGGTGAGTAAAAAATTAAAGTCTGGACGCAGTGGCTCACGCCTGTAATCCCAGCACTTTGGGAGGCCAAGGTGGGTGACTCACTTCAGGTCGGGTCACTCACTTGAGACCAGGAGTTCGAGACCAGCCTGGCCAACATGGTGAAACCCCATCTCTACTAAAAATACAAAAATTGGTCGGGAGTGGTGGCATGTGCCTGTAATCCCGGCTACTCAGGAGGCTGAGGCAGGAGAATTGCTTGAACCCTGGAGTTGGAGGTTGAAGAGAGCTGAGATCGCACCACTGCACTCCAGCCTGGCGACAGAGCGAGACTCCATCTCAAAAAAAAAAAAAAAAATTAAAAACTTATTGTCTCAAAGCAGCCATTCATTTATTCAAGGAATTGCTAAACTTTTCTAAGGGACCAGGCACTGGCCTGAGTGCTACATCGAGAGAGAGTAATAAGATCGAGGATCCCATTCCCACGTTCTGCACGTGTGTGTGTGCGTGTGTGTGTGTGTTTCGATCTGTGTGTGTTGGTGGGTGAATGGCTATGCAAATACATAACAATTTAATAAGTCTTATGATACTGGGAGTACCTGACTCTGATTAGGGGGCACTGCTTTAATATCTGGCAATGGAGGATATATCCATCTTCATTCGCTCCTTCATGCCCCCATCTAACCTTGATTAAAGTCTGATTTCAAATAGCCCATTTGTTGAACATTTTATCAAGGTTTTTCAGGAGCCTGACAGAAAATGTAAAGTCGTCGTATGTTTTGTTTTGGGAAATACTACTTCTAAAACTTATTTGAGTGTCTCAGCTTTTTCTTTCTTTTATTTTATTTTTTAATTAAAAAAATAATATTATCTTTTATTTGTCTTTAAGAGACAGAACCATGTCTGCCTAGTACCTTCACTTGGTCAAATACCTCTTTTGGTGGAAACAACACAAATTATGTAGGTTGTATATACAGGATGAACTCGGTTTAAAGATAAGACATGAAATTCAGTGGAAATATTCTTTAAATTCTAAACAGAGAAATCAAAACAAAGGTATATTCATACTGCATGTGGGTATAAGTTTTTTCTTACATATATTATATATACATATATAAGTGTAACACTTTTAAGAATTTTATTGACCATCTAAATATATAGCAAAATCAGCTGGGGGTACAAGAGTGTAACTACTTCCTTTTTTCCTAAGTTGTGGAAAATGTGAGAAATGAGAAGTAAGCAAGACGGAGGATTAGAATCACAAGGTAGGTTTCCCTAGTATGAATTCAGTACCTGAAAATCTTCTTAGTTCTGAGTTTGAAGCAGATTCTATAAAATCCTGTATTAAAATAAATACAGTAGGAATTAGCAAGGATGGGGGAATAGGAGTGGGCAGATATGTTCTTGAAGAGAATAAATGCAGAACATTATTCTTTGTCAATTAATTTTTACTTTTTATAGATTGTTAGACTATTTAACAAATTCTTATGAGAAAAGTGTGTTTTTAAGTGATCTCTGGGAAGATGTTCCTGATAATAAATTAAATTAGGACTGTGCATTGCGGAGCCCCCACCAGTTGTACTCCCTCTGGTGAATTTAATACCAGACGCAACCTAGTTAGAGGTGACATGAAATCACAGAATTTGATAATCTTTTTTTTCAAAGTTAAGCAAATATAGATGAGCTCTTCTTGTATATGTAAGATGCCAGATGGTGTTTTTGAGAAATCGATTCGTGTATAGTACCAGTCCAGACAAATGGGTCCAATCCTTCTATAGATAAGGCGACCCACTTTTCCTAT
Source organism: Homo sapiens (assembly GCF_000001405.40). Classification (NCBI taxonomy): domain Eukaryota; kingdom Metazoa; phylum Chordata; class Mammalia; order Primates; family Hominidae; genus Homo; species Homo sapiens. The sequence goes on from NC_000014.9 coordinate 79,429,291, forward strand.
TCAACCATAGGGCTCCGTTGTCTGGCACACATTATTTAACAAAGTGACATTGTGGAGTCATCAGTAAGAATGTGGCTTCTGGAGTGAATTTCTTTTTGAGTTTGAATCCTTTGCTGGGTGATCCTGGCCAAATTTCTTAACCTGTTTGAACATTAGTTTCCTCGTCTCTAAAATGTGAGTAACAAGAGTTTCTCGTAGGAACTATGTAAAGGTAAAAAGAAACTGTCTAGCATAGTGCCTGGCACATAATATAATTTCATAAAGTGTAACTCTTGTTATTAAACTGGATAGCTCAATAGATATTGCTCCAGAAACACTAGTGCATGAGGCTGCCATTACGATCGCCAAATGATAGCAGCTGTGAACTGCCACTCCAAGCCCTTTGCAGATGCATGTACTTCTTCGCAAGGGCTTCTAGTCATTGACTTACCCAGATCTATCGTCACCTCTTGAAGAAACAACCAGAAAACACTTTCCCTACTTACAGTGAAATAAGTGAGTATCCTTCTACAGAAGGACAGTTAGTTCTTGAACCAAGGGACTTCAATGCCATATGAGAAAAATTGTCTTGTATACAATATCTTTGGAGAGTGAAAGAGTTTTAAGCATCTTGATATTAGAAATTAAGGCTACAATGCATTCAGGTTGCCTATAAGTTATTCATTTCTGTATCTTGTTGTCAGGAAAAAAAAAAAGAATACTTCAAAATTAAGTTTTTTCCATCTAGGATCTCAGATCTCATTGTATAATTTTCATCATTCAACTGGATTTAATAGGTCTATCAGTATGTACAGTAAATTATTTTCAAAATTCTTCACCTAATAGCTAAAAAGTAAGCCCTAATCTGGTTTTCTGTGAAATTGTCCTCGACAGAATAAATAGTTCAGGTGTCTGAAAAGAAAAATTCCATATTCCTATATCTGGGTTGACACTTAAGACTGCGTTTGTGAAGCCTCCTTATATCTTGAAGACAGGATGTATCTATCTTGCTGGTGAGAATTTTGCTGTTCTGGAGTCTATATCAGGTACCTCAAACGTGATGAGTGATAGAGGTCATGTTTTGTTGTATCACAGTTTGTTGAATCTCCCTCCTTAGAGATTCATTTGACTGAAAAATTAACAGGTTTATTTGTGCAAATGGTAGTTGCACACCCAATTATTGCTTCTGGGTTTCCCATGTGACTAGCCAAGACTCAAGGTGAAAGTTTGGCCTGCAGCTTTGGCAAACAAAGGAGAAGCTAATGAATCATAAAGGTCACATCTTCTTGAATTTTCTTCTCTTTCTTCACTGTTCTGATTACTTTTAAAAAATCTCTATTCCTTATATATTCTGAGTACAAAAACTCATTAGCAAGATTTGGTTCTGTTGTCTGGAGAATTTTCTGCTCACTGCAATAGGAAGGTGATCCAGGTACCACATAACTGTCTCCATGAAGATGTTTGCAATATGTTATGAGTTTTTTAAAGTTATTGTTTGAGAAAAGGCCATATAAGGAGATAATTTTTGCTTATTACTAATTAGCTTACCCCTCTTCTGCTGTTCTTACATTTATGACTATTTACTTGTAAATAAAAGTTATTGATCTTTTTAGAAGTCCATTGGATTCTGCTGCTTTTATTTTTGAGAATCATTTTAACTTACAAACACATATTACCTTTTCCAAAAAGTGACCACATAGCTTTGTGACTCCTCCCTCATATATTTTGAGCACACAGAAATTACCATCCTCTCACTGAGTACTATACATCGGGGCCTCTGGCTCTTACCTCCTTTCTCAGATCCAGGACTGAATGCATAGCTGAAAAGATGACTTTAGTCTTTATTCACAACCTGTAAACTAAAGAAGGTCATTAAAAAAAATTCTTCGTATCTTGCAAACAAAAGAACTGAGATACCTATCTAAGAATGGCAAGTCTGAGAAGCAAATACCTGGCTCTAGCCCTCTGCCATAAGTTTGCAAGCTTGTGTAGACCTTTGTCTGAGAATTGGTTAGGTATAGAAATACACTTCAGCAGAGACTTGACCTATATGACTTTCAAATTTGTTATGATTCTACAATTAGTGTTTGCTAAAATCAAAACTGTAGAATATAGTATAGAGAGTATATTAATTGTTGGCTCTATGCTGACCCAAAATGAAGTCTTTTAAGAGATTAGAGTACTACACTGTCTACATTTAACCAGGTGTCATATAACAATTAATGAAAATTCAATGTTTTATACTTAGAATTTTTAAGTAATAACAGATGATGGATCAAGATTAAAACTGTATTGACAGCCTAAGCAAAGAAATAAAATCTAACAAAAGAAGCTTTAAAAGAAATGAATGTAAAATCCTATATTTTGATTAAATAAATCAAGTTTGCAAGTACCAGGTATAGGAGTTTTGGACTGACAGAACTTTACACTAAACAAGATGTAAAAGTTTTAGTTGTACATAAATTTAAAATGAACCTGCCTTACTGTTTCTTTTAAAAAAATTAAGAAAAAAAAACTCTACGCAGTATTAAGTTCTATTAATAGACTTCTAATTTATTACTAAATTATGTTGACTCTTCATCTGAAATGTATCTATCTTTTTACTCCATTAATTTCTCTTCAGTGATCTAGTCACAGACCTTATTATCCTTTACATGACAGTAGCTTAATAATGGTATCCTTGCTTTTCTCCCTACTACAGTCTGTCCTCTGCATGTAGCCAATGTTATACTTGATGACTTAAATCTGATCATATCATTCCCAAGTAAATAAGCCAACAATGGTCCTCAATAATTACCGAATTAATTATTCCCTGAGAAATGGGGCCCCTCAGTGTAATATCTCATCTCAATCATTTTTTTTAGTTTTGCAGATAGCACCTGCCATTTCTAAATATGTGTCTTTAATTCATCTTAACCACTTCGGATTATGACATCCTAAAATTGCCATATATTTTTATATTTCCATACTTTTGCTCAGGATCTTCTTTGGTTAAAATAATCTTTCCTACTTCACCTTTGACCAACCACTGCCAGTGATCCATGAGATTCAAATGTCTTCTCATTTGGAAGGACTGCCTGATAACCTGCTACCTCAGCTTCAGGAGAAACCAGTTGCTGGCCTCTGTGCTGTTCTCCTACCTCTAAACAGAATGTAAAGTACTATTATTTTCTCTTCAATTGACAAGGCGCTTCTATGATTGTTCCCATCTTCTGTTGGTATTATTTTTAATAAAAAGATCTCATATATTGTGTTAAAGTACTAACCTTGAGAAGACCCCCAGTCTGAAAGAAGAATATTTCACTTCTCCCTTCCCCATTTTCAATCACACATATTATTGAATAATTTTGGTTAACATCCTTAATATTCTAAAGTATCTTGAAACAGTTATTTTTTCTATTTTCAGAAATAAGGTTTTAGTGATAATACTGAAAATTCTAAACTGTGAGCTTTTGTTTCAGGGATAGAAATTTAAAAAATCATGAGGTCTTCTGTCATGATTTTGAATGTTTAATCTACTTTGTCCAGTGGGCTTCTGAATCTTTTGTGATTGGCACGTGTTACTGAGATGCAGACACATGCAATTCTGGTGACCGAGTTCTCAAGCTACAGTTTATTATTTCACACTGCAGTAAATGTATGGACTGAGGGTGAGGGGACTGTCAGAAGATGTGTGTCTTGGGTGCCTGAATAATGCTTCTTTTGCTATTCACTTTCATCTTAATTTAGAGTCATATATTTCTTGTTACCTTTTGGTTTTCCCCGGCACCTAACAATGTAATCTTCACAAAGCAGTGCTACATTCTAAATTTATAGTGCAGTAAATGAAAGAGGTTGGATCCATTGTGCTTCATAATTCAGAGGGAAGAATGTCTGCAGAAAGAAACGTGGGTATTCTTTGGAATGCCATATGTGCAATAATTGAAACATTTTGAGGAATTTCCAATTTACCTCTTAGGAGGAATTCAGGTTTTTGTTCTTTTTGAAAAGAAGATGATTGTTACAGACTTGGGAAATCCTAAAAGAAAAAAGAAGGACTGTTGGGACATCCTGGTTGTTCTTGACCCCCGCAAGAACAGCTACAGTTCTTTCAGATCACAGCACTTGAAGTCAGAAGCCTAAGTGGGTGTCCAGAGAATTCAATGCCGAAAGGTTTTGCCCCTCTTAACTCTCCTGACCACTAGCATTCTCTCTACCTTAGTGTGTGGGTAGGTCTTTGTTATGTCTCCAGACTCACACTAGTTTTTTAAAAAAAATACTTAGGTAAATAGCAGTGGGACCCCAATTCTCTTTTTCTTGTATTCCAGATGAAAAAGAAAAAAACTCACCAGTTTAAAGTGCTCGTTTCATATGTTCACGATATCTAATAGATGTTAAATTTTGGTACCAGGAAGTGAGAGAGTGATATGAAGGAACTAGTGAAATAAGATTTTAATACCTGGCAACATTTCATAGATGATAACACTGGTCCACTTGAACACTTGCCATTTTTTATTCATTATATCTGGTCTAGATGGGTCTAGCTAAAACTTTATTCCGTGCAACACAGCTCTTGCCTATTTAGAAGCCTTTAACTGTGTGTTTAATTATCACCTGGAGTGGTTCTTTTGCAGAGAAAACATAGAACGTAGGATCCAGTCTTTCACAATGCAAAAGTTGAACCTCTGTCACCTGGCATGCTTGAGGAAATTTCAGAAGCTTTGTCCTCACCTTAGACCCACTGAATAAGGTCACTAAGGAATGGCACCCAGGAATCTACATTTTACAACCTCTCCATTTAATACATATGCTTGCTAGAGGTTAAGCAACACTGTGGGCTCACCTGTAGCACGTAGCACTAATCAGACAAGACTCAATATCTGGCCAGACTTTTAGATGATAATCACAAGAAGCAATAACATTTTTCTGAAACAAAACAAGTGGCAAATGATACTGTGAAATCTCTGGCACTGGTTACCCAATATCCACACATACCCCACTTAGCTCTAGATTAGAAAATAAAGAATGAGATTCAGCCCAGAGGCAGCCATGCGCACAGGTGCACAATTTGGAAAAAATGAGACCAATTCTTAAAAAAAAAATCAAGCTGAAGTCAAAGAAGCTTAATAAAAATGTAAATCCTCTTTCAACTGGCTCCATGTTTTCTGTCTCTTCATGAACACCTGCCACCTGGTGAATAATGTCAAGGCCTCTCAGAGTGGGTCAGGAAAGCAAAAAGGCCCATGGCCGGAAATGCTATTAGGCATTCAAAAATGAACAATCCAGGTAACAAAAACTCATGTCAGTGGTGCAGGTACGATGGCGTATTCTCTTCATAAGAAACACTATGCAAATGAATCGCAAAGCGTGAGAGAGCAGAACTTTTCACTGCTGCCTTCTGTCAAGTTGGGAACACTGAGGTGAAGATTGAGTGCAGGGGATTTGGGGTGGGGAGGGTCCCCTGTGAAACAGTTTCTGAATGAAAGTGAGGGAAGCAGGCATGGGATAGAAGGATAATTTGGTCTGAGATGCAAGTGCGGCTAAAGCCTCAGCCAGTCCCACGGTGAGCTCTGAAGTTAGGTTGTCCCTTCTGAGATGACCTAAATTGCATAAACGGATCTGAGTCTTTGTACCTCCCGTGCCCATCCAAACATCCAGTCACCATATGAGGCCACACCCATTGACTGAATCCGGTTCTGGAGAGGGACTGAGGTTTGGTGCAAGTTGTCCGCAGCCAGGACTTCCAACATCTGGAGGATGAGCACCCTAATCTTGAAGGCTGAATTCAGTAGCACATCCACTGCAACTGAATATCTGATTCAAGGCCAAAAATTGTGGAGCTCAGAGCCACAACGGGCTTCTGATCTTCCACAGGCTGCTGAATGCCCCTGGCAGTCCACTGAAGTGATAATGTTAAGGAAGGAAATGATTAGAAGTAATTTGCTGAGGGATCAGAGTTGCATTTGGAGCTATCAGCAAGTAATGAAGCAAGAATGTCAATCGACAGGTGAATCAAAGTCAGGGCAAAAGAAAGGGAGGAGGAAATTTGCTCAAAAAAAAAAAAAAGCCATTACTTTCATTGAGGCCTGGGATGAGGTAAGTAGAGAAAGTTTGCAACTGCCAGAGATTGCTAAATAGGAAAAAATCTTTTGTGCACGTGTTGCTGGTGGGATTGGGACATGAAAGATGTTGTGGGACAGAATCTCACTGGAAAAGTCAAGAATCAGAGCTGGTTTCAAAAAAACTCAACCTTCAAATAAAGGATCCCCTATCTCTATATTGAACCTGGCAATGAATACCTCTTTCTTTTCCTTATTGGTTGGCAAGGATGTAGAACACTAAGATACACACACACACACACACACACACACACACACACACATACATTCTTTGTTTGTTTGTTTTGAGACAGGATCTCGCTCTGTCACCCAGGCTAAGTGCAGTGGCATGATCATAGCTCACTGCAGTCCCAATCTCCTGAGCTCAGGCTATCCTCCTGCCACAGCCTCCTGAGGAGCTGGGACTATAGGCATGGACCATCACACTTGGCTGATTTTTAATTTTTTGTAGAGATGAGGTCTCCCTGTGTTGCCCAGGCTGGTCTCAAACTCTCGGACTGAAGGGATCCTCACACCTCGGCCTCCCAAAGTGCTAGGATTACAGGCACGAACCACCACACTTGGCAAATATTTAATTAAATATTAAATATATCTAATTGTTTGATAAAAAGGGAGAGAGGCTCTCCTTGATGGAAGTAATAGGTTCTGGAATGCAGTGAGTTCTGCTCGGAATGCCCTCTGACCACTGCCTCCATGTGTCTAATATAACCTATGACATTACCCATAGAGGTGCCGCTTTTTCATTGGGGGACACTGCTCCAAAAGTGCCTGGAACCAGGTTAAACCATTGAGGTTATAAGGAATAAAGGGCCTTTATAATAAAGACCATTTCTGTGACTGTGTTCTGAAACTGATAAAAAGCACTTCTTTCTGTCTTTGGTGTCTTCCTTGATAGTTGTAATAAGAATAGTAGTAGTTATTCTTCTTTTTCTTTTTTCTTGTTTGATTTGTAAAATAAAAACACTTTTCCTTTCCTCTCTGGTGTTTGAATGCACCCAGTCTCATTTCAGCAGTCCACAATGACATACTGAAAGTTGTAATAGAGCTACAGCTTTGCTGTATAGAGGTCCATGGATATGTTTTCTAATTATAATCATTCTTGAGCTGTTTGTAACTATTTCAGACTGCTTACCCAGCTGTATGCCACTGGCTTGTTTCTATTTCAGGAATCATCTCTTCCTCTTCTCCTCCTTCCCCCTCCATTCCCAAATCCCCACATTAGTAGCGGCCAAGTTATTTTCAAGTACAGTGTATATGTAAGTGATCTTGATCTGCTAAGAAAAGACATACTGTTTGTTTTTATTGGGCAGGCAGCATCCTAGGGAAAAGGAGAATTACAAGTCTAATTTGGTTAGGAAGCATCCTTTTTCGCAACAGTGAGGACTGCAGGTACCACTAAAATCATTGCTGTTCATTACTAATTGGATTAAGTCCTCTCTGTTCCACCAACCCTGCTTTTAAAATTTCTTCTCTGCTTTTCATTCAGAAACTGCCTCAGCCTGCACTCCGTTATCTACCTCCAGGCTTTATTGCAACACCTCCCACTGCCTCTCTCCTGGACCACCTTGTCCACGCTGCACACAGTTGCCAAATTCAACTTTCTGTGTTGCAAACCTTGTTGTGGCTCCCCCTGTGTAAAAACCTTTTAGTGTTTCTCATCTCCATGAATCACTAATCCATGGTGCTTAGTAGCATGTCAAAGGCCCTTCCGAATCTATCTCTAGCCTACCTCTGTGGACCTTATCTCTTGGCTCTCCCACCTGCCCCCACCCACACCTCTACCCCTTGCTTTTTGCTTTTCTTTTCCCCAAATTCTGAGCTGCTTATACGTTCTTTCCCTTCATGGTGTTTTATACCTCAGCGCTTTCATGCATATAGTTCCCAGTGTCTGGAATGATCTTTTGGATAAATAGTGACACTTCAAGAAATATCTTTGTCCCAACTTCAGAAACCTAATTTTCATTGTGATGAATAGCTCCCACAGTTTTTTCCCCGGGCTATTTTGCAAGTATTGAGGATTCACATGTTAATCCTGAAATGTGCGTTCTAAAAAAAAAAAAAAGCTCCATCTGAGAACCCATTAAACCTCTAGTTTAAATACCCAGGCATTCTTAAAAATCGAATTTGCATTGTCTTTGCTGCAGTGTCTTCTCAGGTAACCAATGCAGCCATGTCAGATTGATACATCATGTTGTTAAGACCCCCATCTGTCTCTAGGGTAGTAGAAAAGATGCAGCTACGGAAGAGAACAGAACTGTGCTCCTGAACATGGCATGGCTGCCGAACCTCACAGATAATCCTGAAGCAGGCAATCTCTGCAGACTTCTGGGGTGATTTGAGCATGTGTAGCTTTTGCTGGCAGCTGAGAGAAATGGGAAGTCCCCTGAGCTGAAAGTTGGGAGCACTACATCCTCATCAACCTAAATCTGCCACATACAATCTCTGTGATCCTGGGGAAGTCACTGGACCTCTTTGAGTCATGCTGTCCTCAAATGTAAAATGAGTTTTACATTTAAATGTTCTAAATAAGTTCCTTTAGAATGTTTCAATTAAAAATTTATCCATCTGTATCAGATAATATTGGTGATCTCATTCAATTTTTTTAGTTCCCTTTTTGATTATTTTTGTACCCCCAGGCCTCAGCGTGGCTTCTCTTGCAATAGCCAGCATGGCTTGTTCTTAAGAAAGTTGTCCTCAGTCTACTACTCTATTGCCTCTGGCTGGAAAAACTCGGGTAGGTGCAAGGTGTCCACCAGCATTTTCTCCTGGGATCGGGCTGCTGCCAGCTCTGGCACTTTGCCTGGGACTGTAGCCTTGTCTGGACTCCCCTTTCCCTCTGCGTGGGAGTGCTTCCTTATCAATCATTTGCCCTCGAATCCATGTCTTAGGATCTGCTTATGGGTTGGACTCAGCCCAAGATATTCTCTATCTAGGTATCCTGGTTGAGTTTGTTAATAAAAGTTCGGTTTGGATTTAGACGAGACAAACCAAACTTGGTTAGGGTAAATAGAGGAGGAAGGTGCCTTGTTTCCTAAATTGTGTTTGATAAAGTGCTTAATAAGGGCGGCTTCCAAAGTGGTTCCAGGTAAAGAAGTACTAAAAAGGCCTCTTTATTAATGTATGGATTTTCTGTCACTGATGTTTGTCTGCCTATGAATAGTTTAGACTAGATTTTTCAAGTAAGCACTTTATAATATCTGTAACTCTTTCTAGGTGTTTTATAAACAACTAACTGAGTAGAGCAGCAACAACAAAGAGCTGTAAGTTTTCTGCCAGTAACTTCTAGTTTTTACCTCCTCAAAAGCTATTTTAAACAAATATGTGTCTAATTAAATCTCAAGGGAATGTGAAATAAAAACTGGAATTTGAGTTCAGAGTACCTGAAAGAGCATTTTTGGAAAAGACTTTGTTTATGCCATTTGTGCATATGTAGATGGAATCAAAATGTATAAGATAATAAGAGAAAGGTGCCATTGAGCCTCCAAGTAGAAGCCCGATGACTTCACTTATGCCCGGCTGATCACCCAAGTGTACAGTTAGTCATGATTTGATATCTGTTGTAGATTAAGCCTGTTGCACACAGTTTCTACCCTGATGTTTGGCATGGGCCATGCACCATACATTGAAACAAGATTTTGAAGTAAATAGAACCACATTTTCCACTTTCTTTCATGCAGTTATTTTCTCTGCAAGATGCATTCTGGCTCCTTTTGTGAAACCTCAGATTTGATTCTACAAGCTGCTGAGAAACACAGCACCTGCATGCCACCCACCAAAGAGAGTGTTTACATAGTCTGTTGTACATAGAAAGCATGTGGGTGTGAGTATACGTATGTGTGATGAAATGGTTCAATTGACATTGTACTTACAAGATAAACTGCATGTATCACCAAATTATTTGACTTCTCTACTCAGAAAGCATTAAATTTTGAGGTTTAAGTAGACATTAAACATTTATAATTTAATATACATTTAATAAAATTAATATTTATGAACACATTTGCCTTGGGAATTAAAAGTGGAAAACAGTGTCATTTACTTGCTAATGGCCACCACGGTGCCATGCAGTTACAGATTTGATGGCCTGCATCCCAGTGACATTGCTCCAAGACCAGAGACAAGACCATTTTTTGTTTGCATGGAGCTAAGTATTATTTTCAGAAAATCAAAACCAAAAGGTATGTTTTGCTTCCTAGCTCAGGGTCTCTGGAGACCTGACCTGCCAGGTATCATTTGCTCATTTTATTTAAAGAAAATAAAATAAATATTCAATGGAGAAGTTAAAAGTCTCTTTCCAACTCAACTCTATATCTCAAAGAATTATTTTCTCATTCTGTCAAGCCATGTTAAAATTTTCAAGTAAAGTCGTAATCATTTCTACATTTTCTTTCCTGTTTGTCTTGCATCTCTTAAAATGGTTTTAATGTTAGAAGCTACTTGACAATGGATGTGAAAATAGATTTAACTCAGCAATCAATATATTATCAATAATAATCATTAATTTATACATAAACATCACATGGGTAGCTTTCCAAGTCCATCCTGTTTTTTGTGGGCTCTTATGCTGGTTCAGAGATGATATATGCCATTTTTATAAGGTGAAGAAGTGGAGCAGTATAAATTGTACCAAGCAAGTATTGAGCACTGCGAAGTTCACTGTTCCTTAGAGAAATGAGCTATGCATTTACTGCTAAAAACAAACCTTTCATAAAATATTTTTTTGGGCACCAACCTAGTGAAGGAGTAAGGAAAAGAAGTGGATGGTTTTAGCATTTACCCTATGGAAGCTTATAGCCTGGATGGCAAGATCAAATTAACATGAGAAGGCAGTTTGGTGTAATGGTTAAGAGCCTTTGGATTCAGCCAAGGCAGAAAGTGATTTGAATTCTAATTGAGCCCCTTTTTAGCTGTACAACTTTGTAAAAGCCCTTTACCTTCTATACCTCAGTTTTCTTATCTTTAAAATAGAAATGCTAATATCTACCTAATAGTGTTGTTACTATTGTTTCTTAAAGATTGACAACAAGGCGTATGAACAGCATGCCTGGAAAATACTGGATGCTCCTCATAAGTAGTTATTTATTTATTAATATCACTGACACAAGTGAAATAATCCATCTCTTCCTACCCCAGCACACTTATCATAACAAATTTGTAATTTGTATGTTTACAATATCTTTTCTGATGAATTGATCCCCATAGTATATTTAGAGCAGTGGTGTCTGGATTTGTATAAATCTCTGTAACTCTAGAACTTCACCCAGTGGCCAATACATAAAAGATTCTAAATAAATATTTGTTGTTGTCATTGTAATAGGGGAAGAGTATGCTCCAAAACAAAGATACTGATTTTAAAAACGACCACACTTTCAAAAAAAAATTTTTTTTAATTCTAGAGACCAGCATCGAGAGTAGGAGTACTCAGTACGATTATTTACGGTAATATATTTATTGGGTAAATTAGGCACCATCTGGTGTGCTAGCTTAGATGGCTCTAGTTCTTTATTAATAGATATATGAGACTCTGGGGTAATAGGTTGCTAGATCCATATGCTATTCAGGAGACAAATTTAGTATACGGTAAGCTTGCTACAGGATCAAGTCGCATAAGAAAATGAATTGAAGTCGAAGAAATGCTTAGGTTAACCCAACAACTCTGATAATTGACCAATGTGGCAAGGGCCATTCTGTTCCAAAAATAATTAACAATATGATCAGTACTGAATTAATGTTGTTACGGATTATAGGTTTCAAATTTTCCCTTGTTAGGAAAATCACCTTTTAAATAATCTCATAGGGTTTTGAACAAAGAGCACAGTGTTTCTTTTTTTTTAAATAGAAACCCATACTTGAGAAGGTAGCAAAGAGTAGCAAAGAGACCTGGATCTCTGTAGCAAGTTCTTGGCCTGGTCTTCATTTTCAATTCTAAAAATTTTGAGGGAAATAAACAGCTGTCCAAACAAAATGCTGAAAGAATATCCCTGGACAAACAGAAAATCTTTTTTTTTTTTTTTTTTTTTTTTTTTTTTTGAGACGGAGTCTCGCTCTGTTGTCCAGGCTGGAGTGCAGTGGTGCGATCTTGGCTCACTGCAAGCTCCGCCTCCCGGGTTCACGCCATTCTCCTGCCTCAGCCTCCCGAGTAGCTGGAACTACAGGCGCCCGCCACCGCACCCGGCTAATTTGTTTGTATTTTTAGTAGAGACGGGGTTTCACCGTGTTAGCCAGGATGGTCTCGATCTCCTGACCTCGTGATCTGCCCGCCGCGGCCTCCCAAAGTGCTGGGATTACAGGCGTGAGCCACCACACCCGACCGACAAACAGAAAATCTTAGAGGGGCATCAAAGCAAATCATATGGATGGAGAGTGTGAATATGAAGAAAAGCATATTCTTTCTTCACACACACACAGTATGTGTGTGTGAAGTAATCTTCAGCCAAAGCAAAGACTAAAATGACCTGTTCAATAAGATGGAAGCAAACTTTAAAAAACAAACAAACGACAAAAAAAAAAACTGTCCTCCTTCTCCGCCAAATTCAGGATACATGTTTTATCAGCCCATGTGCTATTAATCTATTTGTGATTATTCTATTTCATTTTCTCTCCCATGCTTTTCTCATTTCTTCTCCTCATTCTAGGTGAGTATAGGAAGCATCAGGGCTGGGGCCATAAAAAGCCTGTGGCCAAGGACATTGCAATAAGACAGAGAATTTTAGATACTTCATTAATTATTTTTCCTACCAGTTAAGGATTCCTTGTGTAATGACAGAACAAGGAGAAGACAGCAAAATAATACTAATGCTAATAAAAATATGTAATACAGAGTACTTATGATGATATAAGCATTGTTTTGTTTGCTTAGATTATTCTGTCTGGTGTTCTTAACAGCCTGTATGCTGGGCAATAAAAATAGAGTCTCAGGAAAACAGAACCAAGTTTGCTATAATTTGGAGAGACAAAACTAAGCTAAGATTCTTTAAGTAATGTTCATGGGGAGTTTGTGCATATGATTTATCAGAAAGAGCTGCTTCTACCAGGGCTCATAATAATAATGGTTCCCCTGAACTGGATGCTAAATTTATCAACTGGTTATTTTGGGCTTCTCTTGCCAGTAAGCCTATAGAAAACAAAAACAAAAACTTTTGCTATAACCTTGATTATTCAGAGAAAATAAGGTTTCTGCTACACAGCAGGGACAGGACATGGTTGGCAACTGGGAAAGACACTCAGCAAATATTACAGATACCAGAAGGAACCTGGAGAAACTCTGATTCTTTTTCATTTTGTTCTTAAAAAGCAGGCGTCTGAAATGTGCCCAACTTCAGCTAAAGAAAAAAACACTATTGTTGGGTCTAGACACAAAGCCTGATTTGCTGATTTTATTTTTCTTCATTTAGTTATTTTATTGTTCTGTAAATATGGACTTACCTTTTTTGCTTCTTTATTTTATCTTTTGGTAGAACCTTGAGCAGGGACACCCTAGACGTTCAACTGTTCCGTGTGATCAGTGTCTGCCTTAAAATGTCTGAATTCCTGTACTGCATTTCCCAGTGAAGTTTAGTGTTTATGGCAATCCTCCCGATGGGGAGAGAAATGAGCCGGCGAGGCCAAAAGCAGCATCTGTGACTTGCTAGGATCAGCTGGCTCTGTGTGCATGATTTCCACTTCAAAGGGTACACAGACAACTTGGTGATAGTCCATTTATTGCAGCCTGGTCTTGTCAATTAGTCAAAGTTATCTTCTATACAGCTACAGTAAGTAATGTAAAATCATTTACAATATAGGTGTTAGAACAGCAGAGACCCTTAGAGTTCATGTATTTGACTTCCTCCTTGCACAGTTGAGGAAATTATGAAATGCATGTCTTTAGCTTCTTCATTCTACAGTATTTATTGAGATTTTTTTATGAAGAAGAAGGATAAAAAGATACAAACTTGTATGAAGTTAGGGAACTGGAGAAGCTAACTCATTTTCTCTTTTTTTTCCTGTGTCTTTGGCACCTCTATTAGATCTGGTCCGTAGTGGGTCTAAATAAGTATTTATTGAAGAAGTAATACATGCTTTATAAATGATGGCCAAATAGCTGTTTGAATGGATAAAAAAGCTTCATAAAGAAAGTGATACTTGTACTACGTCTTGCAGGATGTGGGAGAATTGGAAAATGAGAGAGAATAGAGAAATTAACCAATATTATAGTCCAGCCAACAGCAAAGATTGAACTAAAATTCTGGTCTGGTCTAGAGGTAAACCAATAGGCTCACTTTCCAAAAGAAAATCTGAAGCATTTAAGATTATTTAATAAGGAAGAATTTCCTCTGGTGTCCTGAATGAGGAATCTTTGGGGCAAGAAGGGTCCTGTCCTATTTATTATCCTTAAGAAATTCCTTGCTATTTTTAGTTCTCAACATCAGCTACTTCTCATTACTAAGTAAAAGCCAGATTACTTAACTTGCACTCACCCTAATTCATCTTATCCACTGGCAGCAAATTCCTTCCTTAGAATACTTCCCCACTGGTTTTTGAGAAGTGAAAAGGATTAACATATATGGCAGTGGAGTGTTTTATGTAATAGTCTTTTTATTAACCCCATTATCCAGCTGTTGGGGTGCTGGGTAGAGAAGGAAGGGAGGAGGAGGAAAGTAGTTGTTGGCACTGGGGGTTCAGAGCCGCCCCAGCTCCTTGAGATGAAGGGATGAAAATAAATCCTCTGTATTACTGAAGCATGTGAATGCCATGAAGTAGTGGGACCTGAATCAATACATTGCATTTACAGCAGAGCAAAAGAAAGAATAGGGTTTTCAGAGTTTATTTATCCTGCTTCTCTGAAAAATACCCGTGTGAACTATTGGGCTGAGAGTGTTGAGTCCATTGAATTTGACTCTTTCACTGCCATATCTTTGGAGAGAATGCCTTCCCAAAGAGTCATATCCAAATGTAATGTCCCTCCCTTCTCTTATGAGTGACTTACTTTTGGTATTCCACTGGGTGGAAAAAAGCTTTTCTTACAGGATATATGAACTAATAATAGTTATACGACTGCTTCGGATTTGTCGCGCTCCCCTTGGATAAGTTTAATATGATTTTGTACACATTAATTAATTATCTTAATAACAGACAAAATAGAAGGAAGCCACTACCGTCCTTTCCAGTGCATCAGATGAATCAAAATGAATCAAAGGGCTGGGCATGGTGGCCCACACTTGCAATCCCATTACTTTGGGAGGCTGACACCAGTAAATCACTTGAGGCCAAGAGTTCAAAACCAGCCTCAGCAATATAGTGAGAACCCATCACTACAAATTCCTTTTTTTAAATTAGCTGGACATGGTGACCCATGCCTGTAGTCCCAGCTACTTGGGTGGCTGAGTCAGGAGGGTTGCTTGAGCGCAGGGGTTCTAGACTGCAGTGAGTTATGATCACCACTGCAGTCCAACCTGGGTGACAGAGTCAGACCTTGTCTCTAAAAAAATAAATTTAAAAATAACATTAATTAATTAAAATGGATCAAATAAACACATACATATTGTGGAGATTGTGAGAAATAAGCCTTGTTCTATGTGTCTCAGGTTTACCTGAACTCCAAGTAGCCCTGATGACTATATGGCAGTTATCACAATAAGCAACAGCATAAAGGACTTTGAGAAATCAACAGATCTTATTTTTAAAAATGAATTTTCTTAAACATGTATTCACTCAGCTGGCAGTGGTGGCTCATGCCTGTAATCCCAGCAATTTTAGAGGCTGAGGCGGGCAGATCACGAGGTCAAGAGATCAAGACCATCCTGGCCAACATGGTGAAACCCCGTCTCTACTAAAAATACAAAAATTACCCGGGTGTGGTGACACACACCTGTAGTCCCAGCTACTCGGGAGGCTGAGGCAGGAGAATCACTTGAACCCGGGAGTCAGAGGTTGCAGTGAGCCGAGATCACGCCACTGCACTCCAGCCTGGTGACAGAGCAAGACCCCATCTCAAAAAAAAAAAGAAAGAAAGAAAAAAAGAAAAAAAATGTATTCACTCAATATGATTAAGTACCTACTCTGGGCTAGATATTAATTAGATCATTGAGAGTGTAGGTGTAAGCCAGGCAGCCAGACATCAATTCTCATGGACTTGCATTCTAGAAGGAGATTGAAGAGATGAGGCAACAGTTGTAGAGAACACCTTACTGCTCATGGGATAGAAAATTACCACTGGGATGAGGGAAAGTTGCTACTTTTGATTGTGGTCAAGAAAAGCTTTTCAGGAGATCACCCTTGGCTTGAGGCTCATTGATAAGAAGAGGCCAGCCATGCAAACATCTGGGGGAAGAGGAAAGAGCAAGTGCAAAGATCCCAAAGCCACAGAGATGTTTATGTGCTGGGAGAACAGAAGAAATCCCAGTGCTTGTAGTGCAGTGAGCAAAAGGAAGTATGAGGCCAGGTAAAGTAAGAAAGGTTGGCAAGGGTCAGATCATGGAGGGCCTTTGGGGCTGTTGTAAAGAGTTTCATTTCATTCTAAGGCAATTGGAATCCATTTGAGAATTGTGAGCGGGAGAGTGGTAGGGACCAATGGCCAGTATGTGATGACAGGTAATGTGATCTATGCTCCTATTTTTAGGGGCAGGCCTCCTTAAAGATCCATTTATTGATTTAACAATATTAAATGAAAGTTCACTATATGCCATGCTATAGTGTTCTAGGGTTTCAGCAGTGACTATGACAGGTCTCCAGCTTTATTGAGCTTACATCTTATTGAGGAGAGGCAGACAAAAACGAATAAGAACCGTGAAGAAAATATAGAGTTTATATGATAAAAATTAATGGGATGAAGTGCTGGAAATTTCACTGGATTGGAGACCACTAGGGCTACTTCAGTAATTAGTTTTGAGGTCTCCTGTTGTTGTTTCTCAGCCCTGATGGTCAAGAAATTCTTTCCTGTTTTGCTTGTTTCCATTTCTGTCTACTGCTTTTTATTCTGTTGTCCTCTTAGGTAGTACACAGCCCTTTTTCTGAAAGTCTTATCTCTGATGAAGAAAACACTTTTTCTCTTCAAACAGTAACTTAGTCTTTTGCTTTATTTCCTAGAGACTCTGATTTCCTAAAGTTTTTCATATTTGTTCTATGTATTCATTCTTTTCATTATTTTTGTTGCTCTCCACATAAAAATATAAAAACTTATCCTGTAAAGAAGTATTAATTTAGACATCATTTAGCCAGAATATAGCAGAAGAATTATTTTACAGTTCTTATAAGGTACCTACTAATCCTCCCTCCTCCCTGCCCCCTCCCTGTCTTCTCTTTTCTCCTTTCCTTCCTTTCTTTTTCTCCTATCCCAAAATACTAGTTAAATAGTTTCTCTCCTTTAAAGTACTTTAAAGATAACTTCTTCATAATGAACTCTTGTGTGCATAAGCATTTCTTTTCCTGTTAAGAAGCAGTGGACAATTTTTTTGTTTTAAAGACATTCTAGAAGATTTTAAAAAATTATTGTGGTAAGAACACCTAACTGTGAGATCTATCTTCTTAATAGATTTCTAAGTGTACAATACAGTATTAGTAACTGTAGACATTATGTTGTGCAGGAGATCTCCATAACTTATTCATCTTGCATTACTGAAATTTTATACCTGTTGATTAAAACTAAAGATCCTTTTCAAAAAATACTTCTTAAGCCATGGCTTCCCCTGGTTGTGGACTGTAACCCTTGATGTTATTGACCATCTTGGGATTAAGTTCCATTAAGAAAGACAGTGTTAGACATTGTGGAGAAATAATAGCAAGGAAATGTTTGTTCTGGTCCACCAAAATATTGAGGGACCAATTTTAACCTCCACATCGTTCCTTCTGGGGTTTTCAGGATAAGAAAAAAGGAGCTGTGGCTTGCTGCTATTTCAGTAGTCAAATAAATATTTTTAAATTGCTTGTTTCATTAGTAGGATGTTTTTCTGAAAAGACAGAGTATATACCCCTCAGGATATTTCTGCCAATGTGTTAAAGTATTTGTAAAAAAAAATAAAATAAATGGCTTTGTAGAATGTTCTTGTTTCCCAAATGGCTACTGATTTTCTTAAGAAAAAGGTAGCAGCAATTTGCTGAAAAACAAAAATGACCTTTTATTAGTCAAGAGAAATAAGATAACTAATTTAGATTGAATGTGTTTATCCTACCAGGGTCCAAAATTTCTATTTTCATGTATTCTCCTTTTCTTATAAAGGCTCCCTTTGGAACTATCTAGGAAGGACCTGCCAACATCCTTGAACAGTGACCATTCAGTCTCTACTATACTAGAACCCATCTGATGATGAAATTTTGACTATATTTTTGGAGATTTCATTCTGTCATTGGATAGCTCTAGGAAGTGCTTTTACACCTTTTGAGCTCTGGTCTTGAGTCCAGTAATTTTTACGTATCAGTCCTTGTTCTGCCTTCCAAAACCGCATAATCCTCCTTCAACTTGACGTCCTTTATGTGTTTTGAGATGGCCCCCATGGGCTTCCAAGTGTTTCTGGCTAAATATCCTGAGCTCATACATGTGTTCTTCATACAGCAGCACTTTGAGGCCTCTCTCCATGCTGGTTACCTTCCTCCCAAGTCTGAGTTTTAATGTCCTGTTTAAAATGTTATGAACACAGCTACTTAGAAAGCTGTGCAGTCATCTCAGAGTAGAATCAGACAAGGACCTCCTTCACACGAAGTGCTTCCTGTGAGGACCTATGTAATCTGCTCTGTCTTCTGCTATCATTTGTTTCTTCCCTTCTCTCCTTTGCATCATCCACTCCAGCGACACTGGTTTCCTTGCTGTTCCTCACACAAGCCAAGCACCCTTTAACTTCCTTTTAAAGCCCTTTACCCTTATTTCCTCTGCCTTGAACTCTCCTCCTTCAGAAGACATGGGGCATTCTCCCTCTCTGCACTCAGATTACTATTGCTGTCCCCTCAGAGGGGCCTGCCCTTCCCAACCCATTCTAAACAGCCCTCCCCCATCATGACTACCCCTTGTCATGCTTTTATTAGCCCTTGAAATTCCCAGACATTATGTTATCATTCCATTTATTTGTTTATTGTCTGCTATCATTATTAGAGTATGATCTCTATTAAGTCAAGGACTTTGCTAGTTCCTGAATGTCTTTTCAGTACCCAGAAAAGGGTCTAGCATATAGAAGGAGCATAATAAATATTTGTGAATGTATTGACTAATTTACTATCCATGCAGATTATCTTTAGGCAGAGGATAGAGAATAAGACTTTTTAGTACATATTTAACAGTGTGTGTAGCCATCCATACAGTAAAGAATTCTGCAACTCACAGTCACCCCAAACAGCATTTGAGCTTTTAGATACTATAGAGCAACCTGTGTCTGTGTGTGCATAGATATGTGTGTACATGTACACACTTATGTATATACATACACACATACATTCGTATACATGCGTGTACATTTATGTATGTATTATGTGTATATCTCTGATTAAATGGGTGAACATGTGGTTTGGGGACCCGTGTCCAAGCCCTCTAGATTGTAGAAGCTGGAAATGACAAAAGTGAATGAAGTGAGGGAAAGTGAGCCAGCAGGACTGCTCACTGCACATGAATTTCCAAGGATACAGTTGTTCTTGAACAATCACAGTCAGTATATCAAAATAAGCGCTTTATTGAGTAGGGTAAAAGGAGTTGCTGGAAAGACTGTAAATTCTCTCGCAGAACAAATGATAACTGAGCCCAGGAGCCCTTTTGTTCTTGGGGGAGGGGGCATAAATTCCCTGAAAGTATCTGTCGCAGGGAATTGCTCTGCATTCATCATGTCCGCCTCCTGCATCATTCATGAATGTCATAAGACTCTAAAGAATTGGCACTTCATAGTGAAGATGATTAAATAGCCACTATACTTGTCTTTTCTGCTGCACAGTGCTTTTTAAAGGAATTCCATTTAGGTTGTAGCATGCCCCTTCGAATCCCTTCGCATTTCTTGCAACCTGAGGTCTCTGACATCAGAGGAAGGCCCTTGCTTGTTGGGACTGGACAGAGCTGGTGGGCTAGCACTTCAGTTTGCTTATTTTCCTTTGATGGAGACAATAGGATCTGGAAAAAAAAATGCCATAAAGCTCAAAGCAAATCATTTTTTAGGGAGTATAGAAATTGCTGTTTAGATTCTGCAGTGAATGAGCTGTAATTTTTTTCAGATATTTTCACTTCTCTTATCACTTCCTTGTGGACTAAGAATAATGAATCAGAACAAGACACTTTTATATATGATTTGCTATTTTATATATTCAAATATAAGGCCTCAAGTCATTTTGTAGCCAATAAAGCCTATGTATGCAGTGTAAATACTGATGTAACAGAGTATAAGATATAGAATCGGCCAGGCGCAGTGGCTCACGCCTGCAATCCCAGCTCTCTGGGAGGCCGAGGCGGGCGGATCACCTGAGGTCAGGAGTTTGAGACCAGCCTGGCTAACATGGTGAAACCCCGTCTCTACTAAAAACTATAAAAATTAGCCGGGTGTGGTGGCAGGTGCCTGTAATTCCAGCTGCTTGGGAGGCTGAGGCAGGAGAATCACTTGAACCTGGGAGGTGGAGGTTGCAGTGAGCTGAGATTGCACCACTGCACTCCAGCCTGGGCAACAGAGGGAAACTCCATCTCAAAAAAAAAAAAAAAAAAAAAAAAGATATAGAATCTTACTTCTGTCCTCTCCCCTGCATGCATTTCTTGTCATGTATACATATTCTCTTTCTCTCTCTCCCTCTCTCCACACATACTCACTCCCTCTCTCTCTCTAAGTGCCCTAGAGTAATTCTTACTTCCCAAACAGCATCCTTAAGTGACAGAGTGCAAATGATTGAATTAACATTTATCTACTCAGGTATATGTAGAATCTAAAACAGTTGAACTCCTAGAAGTACATAGTAGAATAGTGGTTACCAGAGGCCTCAGGTTGGGGGTTGGAAGGAGCAGATGTTGGTCAAAGGGTACAAAATTTCAGTTAGGAGAAATACATTTTTGAGATCTATTGCATAGCATGGTGACTACAGCTAATAATAATGGATTGTAAATTGCAAAATTGCCAAGAATAAATTTCAAAAGTTCTCACCACAAAAAATAATAAGTATCTGAGGTGATGGATGTGTTAATTAGCTTGATTTACATCATTCCACATAGTTTACATATATCATAACATCACATTGTACCCCATAATTATATATAATTATGATTTGTCAATTAAAAATAAGGCCAGGGGCGGTGGCTCACGTCTGTAATCCCAGCACTTTGGTAGGCCGAGGTGGGAGGATCTCTTGAGGTCAGGAGTTTGAGACCAGCCTGGCCAACATGGCGAAAATATAAAAGTTATCTCTACTAAAATTATAAAAGTTAGCTGAGCATGAGGGCACATGCCTGTAATCCCAGCTACTTGGGAGGCTGAGGCACGAGAATCACTTGAACTTGAGAGACAGAGGTTGCAGTGGGCCGGGCTCACGCCACTGCACTCCAGCCTGGGCAACAGAGTGAGACTCTGTCTCAAAAAAAAAAAAATTAAAATTAAATTAAAAATATAAAGTTGGTCAATAAACAAATTTTCATAAGCACTTATGTTAGAGGCAACAGAAAGTATTTAGAGAGAACAGCAGACTGTAATTAGGAGAGAGGAGCTCTGATTTGTTTCCACCAGTCATCACTGTCACCTCAGACAAATTCTGTAACTTCCCAGGGCCTCAGGATTTGCATCTGCAAATGAGGACACAAATGGTGGCTCCAGGATTCTCCTTCCACTCTTATGACACATGGCTTTATGTGTCAGGAGGGGCTCAGCCATCAGGAGGGAACAGAAAAAAAAAAAAAAAAGCTCAGGATATCACCACTATTTCTGAGGAACTCATAATTTAATGATCTCTGCAATCTCTAAGCTCTGCTGGGAAATGAGCTCCAGCATAACACGGGTTCTGGGTCTGTAGTGGCATCGCTGACTGAAAGATAGGTCATTTTTAAAATAGTGGTATGACCTTTGGCTGTGATTTCCTCATAATAAACATAATATGATTTTTGTGCCAATTTTCTGTTAATTATGGGCTTCTCCTAAAAGTTTATGAGTTTAGGAAGAATGTTCTTTTTAAAGTAGAACTTTGGACACATGTTAGGAGATCCAATTAAATAGATGGATCATGGAAATTGGGTCATCACTGGTTGTTACCAGTAAGAGGATCCCTTAGAGATAATGTGTTCACCTGTTACCATAGAAGTCTTATGAGCTGTGCCTGTAAGTTACCAGTGGCTTCAAGGCAGGTAGACCTTTTGAGCTTTAATTTGTTCCTAGAAGGAACCTCTTCACTTCTCATTATCCAGACTTTCCCTAGAAGTGGGAGGGCTGATCAAAATGCCAGCCTTGGCCCTTTGCATTCTGCTGCTCCAGCCATGTGGGTCTGATTTGTTCTTACTGCTGGTTTAAGAGAGATTAAAAGGAGCAAAGCTGTTCTCTAAGTTTCTTGATCTGCACCGTGGCAGCCAGAGTCAGAGGAAATGGAGACAATGGGAAAGGGACTAAATCCTAGAGAGTGATGTGTCTGGGATCTCGGGAAGCAGACCCAGCGTTCAAATGCAGGCTTCAAATACTAGGTCATTGCTTTGGAGAATCTTCTTGCACCCAAAACAACTTGCCACAACCTATGTGGCCCAATGTGCAGCAAAAGCTGAGCCTGAGATAAGGACAGACAGGATATATGGCTGAATAAAGAACTTTCAATTTCCTTTTCTTAGTAGACGGACAAGTATCCCATCATTAAAAAAAAATAGCCACATAAAAAAGCAGTTTCCAATCTAAGTGCACATGGGGTATGCCAAAATCTTTGCACATGATTGACTTAATCAGAAGGCCCAATCTAATGGAGAGAAGTACTGTATTAATTTAAATATGGCAGGTGCTTTCTAAGTTTATTGCAAGAGTTAAAGACCAATTATCTTGTATTTTTCCATAAAATTGCATTTTCTAAAAAGAGACTGGTGTGTCTGAATACATCCATCATAATAAATCTTCAAGCTTGGATGGAAGTGACTGCTGTTTATTTGCAGCATGTCATATCTGTACTATTGAATCAATGCTAAAGTTATCATATTAGAACTAAGATGAGGGCCCGGAAAATGAGTTTTTATAGACTCACAGCGTGATTTTGTGAATAAAAGCATAAGACCAGGACCAGGTGTAGAAAGTGCCTTATTCCAGGGCCTGATGACCTGGAAGGCAATTTTCAAATGTAGGGATTATGCAGTCACCTCTCACAAGGTCCAGGGTGAAGAACAAGTAAGAAACTTTCTATTTTCTGGGGAATAGGCACACTTTCAAAGGAGGAAGAGGTATTGAGATGAGACAGAGAAATTGAGATGGAAAGTGTATTTGAAATATGTGTAATTAGGCAGGAGAAATGAGAATCACAAAACACTAGCAAAAGTCATTGTCTTGCTAAAAATAATAAAGGAAGAAAAACAAAGTATAAGCTAAGGCTTTGAAGGTGATAAAATATTAAGAAATTTTGCTTCTGTATTTATAGGAAATCAGTTTTTAAAAGTATAAACTAATTACTAATATATTACATAATAATGCAGTGATGTTGCTTGTCCATGATAAAAGGTAATAAATAAAAATTTGTTTAATGAATAATGAAAAATAGCTTTCACATTTGGAGTTGATTTTGATTCATTTTGATCTCTTATGTGGCTCTTGGCTGTAGACTATCTTTGTTTTAAGAAGAGCAAACCCATTTGTCCTAATATTCCTGGAGAATTATTTCATTCAAAAGAATAAAAATATCAGCCAGGCGTGGTGGCTCACACCTGTAATCCCAGAACTTTGGGAGGCAGAGGCAGGTGGAACACCTGAGGTCAGGAGTTTGAGACCAGCCTGGCCAACATGCTGAAACAGAGATGGTGCCACTGCACTCCAGCCTGGACGACAGAACGAGACTCTGTCTCAAAAAAATAAATAAATAAAAATAAAAGTAAAAATGTCATGTATATAATATAGAGAGAGGTTCAAATACGCTAAGAGAAAAAGAAGCCAAGATCATGTAAGCATTATGATTACAACCACATGCAGACTATGTTTTTCTTCTGGCTGAAGGCCAGAGAGAAAGGCAAGTAGCTGTATATTCAGTGGGTGTTATTTGGTCAAATCGATTTACATAGTCTTGCAGGTCTTCCAAATACTAAATATTAAGTACTTGGAAAATAGCTGAGCAAAATCTGAGTGCATTCTATGATGATACAGTAGCACAGTCTTGCTTGGGACTTAAAATCATGGTTGTTTATGGTCATGGAGTTCTAACCAAACCCTTGAACACAAAATTCAGTGAGCTCAAAATGAAACTAACACTTTCACATTCTAATCTGTATTTCCTTTTCTATCTACTATTTTATTTGTCCAAATTTGAAAACTCTGAACCAACCCCAGATCCTTCTTTTTTTACTCCCCAAATATCAAATAGATCACAAAAGGCTTTTATTCTTCATGTCTTTCATATCTGCTTCCCCTGATTTCTCATGCTCACTGATCCAATTCCAATTTTCATCTCTCGTGTCTGGGGTATTGCAGCAGTCTTCCTCTAAATCCCCATGGTCACACATTATCCTCCCTCCATCTTCTCTACTGCAGACAAAGTTATTTTTCTCAAACTGTGCATTTTCCCACTGATCAATGTAGTCATTCTCCAACTTTTTAAATACTAAAATCACTCTTTGAAAAATTGATATGGAACTTTGTTTTTTTTTTTAAGACAGAGTCTCGCTCTGTCACCAGGCTGGAGTGCAGTGGCGTGATCTCGGCTCACTGCAACCTCTGCCTCCCAGGTTCAAGCGATTCTGTTGCCTCAACCTTCCAAGAAGCTGGGACTACAGGTGCATGCCACCAAGCCCAGTTAATTTTTGTATTTTTAGTAGAGACGGGGTTTCACCATGTTGGCCACGATGGTCTCGATCTCCTGACCTTGTGATCCACCTGCCTAGGCCTCCCAAAGTGATGGGATTACAAGCATGCACCACCAGGCCTGGCTACTTTTGTATTTTTAGTAGAGACAGGGTTTCTCCATGTTGGTCAGGCTGGTCTCGAACTCCCAACCTCAGGTGATCTGCCCACCTTGGCCTCCCAAAGTGCTGGGAATACAGGCATGAGTCACCGTGCCCAGCCCAATCATATATTCTTTAACATTGTTGTATTATTTCCCAGCAGTTTGTAGCTTATTTTGTTTTAATGCTTTATTTTCCTAGTAACAAATTCTAAAACGATGTTGAATAATATTGTGATAATGAACATCTCTATTTTCCTGATTTTAATGGCAAAGGCTATATAATTTTGCCATTTAGTATGACAATACTTTGCTGTTGATAATCTCTATCATATTTAGAACATCTTAATTCTATCTTAATTAAATTTTAGAGGGAATGGCTGCTGAATTTTTTCCAATACTTAAAAAAAATCCTGAGTAAAATTATATTCAAATTCTACTTTAATTAGGTAAAGTAATGAATTTTGTTAACAGATATCTTTAAGCTGAAATACACTACTTTTCATGTTTCTGAAATCATATTTTTCTTCTAATATACCATTGAAATGCTATTCAAAAAATGTTTATCAATTTTTGTAAGTGAAATTAAAGTGTTTTGTTTTTGTGTAGCATATTTATTAGGTATTGGTATTAAGATTATGTTGGATTTACAAATGAATTGGAAAATTTCTTAGTCTGTTTGGGCCACTATAACAAAATACCATAAACTGAGCAGTTTTGTAAACAACAGAATTTTGTATTTCATAGTTCTGGCGGCTGAGAAGTTCAAGATCTAGGTAGATTGTATTGGTCTCTGGTGAGAATCTCTTTTCTCTTCATAGGCAACATCTTCTTCTATAACCTCACATGGTGAAACCTTACATGGTGATGTCTGTTTTATAAGATCGTTTGTCCCCACCATCTCCCAAAGACCTTACCCTATAATAGGAACACATTGAAAGTTAGGATTTCAACATAGGAATTTGCAGGGGGATCATAGGCATTGCAGTCCATTTCATGAAGATTTCTAACCTTGCCTGTAGTATGGTATAAAATGGAGTAATTTAGAAATTATCTCTTATCTTAAAAGTTATGTTGAAAGGTAGATGAAAATTACCTGTAAAATCACCTAGATCTGTATTTTTTAATTATTAAAACTTGAATCTCCTTTCCAATGGTGTCTATGGTCATTAGCCTATTGAGTTTTTCTACTTTTTCTTATAAATCTTTGACAAGTTATACTTTTTCCTAGAAATGATCCATTCCTTCTGACTTTCAAATATATTGCTTTAAAGTTGTACAAAGTATGATTTTATATTTGTAATCTTTTCTATTGTGATGGTTATATAATTTCTAATGTTCTATTTTTCTCCTTTAGTTTTTATTTCTGTTTTTTTAGAGGTTTATATATTTTCTTTGACATTTTAAAGAGCAAACTTTGGGATATTTTTAACTTTTATATTATTTCAAATATTATCGGGTAAATTTCAGCTTTTATTTTTAATCATCAAAAACCATCTTATTTATCTTATTTTTGTAATAGTGCATTAAGGTGAAAGTTCAGTTTATTTATGTTTATTTTCCTTATTATTATTTGAGACATTTTCTTCTGAGTTTCTGAGTAAAGCTTTATCTGAAGTTTATATGACTTGATATATAAAGCTGTCTCTTCATTAATACTCTAATTATTAGGTTTTGGTCTTTTTTACTGTATATTTTAAGATTGTATGTATAAAGAGTACTGTTTGTTCAATAACTTAATTATAGAAATCATTAAGGATTTCTTTGTCAACAAGAATATTATCAGTTTAACAAATGTTCCAATTTGAAATATATACGAATTACTGAATATGCTTCTTTGGTAAAATTCCTGAGTTGCTTATCACCCAATCATCATGGTCATTCTTTGCCAATTTATTTAAGCACTTACTGTGCCCCTATGTGTTCCAGGCACTGTGATAGGTACCAGGAATTCTTTCATATCCAAACTCTTCTAGTTGTGAAAGAACCCAAATTTGAACTAGCTTAGACTACATGAGTTAGCTATTAAAAGTTGTGTATAAGAAAGACCTGGCCAGGCACAGTGGCTCATGCTTATAATCCCAGCATTTTGGGAGGCCAAGACGGGCGGATCACTTGAACCCAGGAGTTTGAGACCAGCCTGGACAACATAGTGAAACCCTGTCTCTACTAAAAATACAAAAATTATCCGAGCATAGTGGCGGGTGCCTGTAATCCCAGCTACTCTGGAGGCTGAGACAGGAGAATCTCTTGAACCTGGAGGCAGAGGTTGCTGTGAGCCCTGATCACCCCACTACACTCCAGCCTGGGTGACAGAGCGAGACTCTGTCAAAAGAAAAGAAAGGAGAAGAGAGGAGAGGAGAGGAGAGGAGAGGAAGAGAAGCAGAGGAGAGGAGAGGATAGGAGAGGAGAGGGACAAAGGCACAACTTCACAATATAGATTATAAAAACTAGGTATTTTAAAAATGATAAGATTTTTCTCTCTGTGGCCAGATCTAAATTCAACAGCTTGTCTTTACTCTTTCAGTCAGGATTGATTTTCTCATGACTTTCTCCCCATAAGCAGAAATGTGGCCACGGCAGCTGTGTGTCTCTTATGTCACAGTTTTATCATCAGAGAGGCACTGATGGAGTGTTTCTCTGGTTCCAGGTTTAAAAAAAAAAAAAAAAAGTTCATTGAAGTTCTCTAGCCTAGCTTGGGTTAATTGATTACACCTTAGTCCATCTGCTGTATATAAGAGCAGAATCTTTTACGGACATGACAATTTCAGTTCAAATCACATGATAAATATGGAGGAAAATAATAATTTCTTTGTGAAGAGGCTTAATGTTTCAAGATAGAGACAGAGGATGTGCTGCGCCGATAGAATAATGAAAGTCTCCTATAGTCAAAAAACAAACAAATAAACTTGAGGCAGATTCTTCACTTCAAGGTGCTCACCATAAAATGGCAATACTAAACTATTTCTAGAACTCTATATAGAGTGCCTGTTAGTTATTTTGATCCTGTTACAACTCTTTCAGATGATGAGGTAGAAGTGTTGTCGCCTTCTTAATCATGGAGAAACTGAGGCTCAGTGAAGATAAATGATTGTTTTAGAACAGAAGCATGGACTTTAATAGTTGGGATTTGTTCTTTTCATCCAATTCTGACCTGGGTTCTATGATTAAGAGGTATGTGTCTCATAGAATCAAATCATCACCCTTCAAAAATATTAGCCAGCTTTTCCAGAAAAATCGTGTTGTATGAATTAAAGCCACAAATACACCAAAGTCATCCGTTTACAGCCCCTGGCCTCTTGTAAGTATGAGGATCATATAAATCAGGCATTTAAATCAAAGCACTGGAAATAAGCAACTGCTTTTTATGTGTATTGTTTTTCCAGAGAATATTCAATACTTAGCTACCCCTTCATTGTTCTTATTAAAAAAGGTATTTCAAGGCTGTGAAATAAAAGGAGGAAAAGAAGACAAATGTGTATGTTCCAAACTTCTCCTTTCCTCTAATCATGTCTCATGTCATCAGAAGGAATGCACTTCTGAAAAATAAAATGCTACAGAAAAGGCTGCTGAGTAATTATAAAATGATTACTTTTGTTTTTCCTTTATTCATTTATATTTTGCTTATGAACAAATGTATATATGGTCTTTGCTTTTAGTTAATGCTCTGTAAAATAGAATAACGTGGCTATCCTTAAAGATGTCACGTTGCTTTTCTGTTGTACATCCCTGTTAGGTTAAATCTGAGATGCACTTATCTATTTATTTTTACAAAAACAATTTGCAATGTGATTTAGAAATGGAGGAGTAACATAAAACAATTTGACTAAAAATGGGTGTGATTTTCTTATCTGAGACTGCCAAAAATTCACCAAAGAAAAATCATTCAAATGTCTTTGTGGTTAGGTTTCTTTTATAAATTGAAAGTTGTGTTCTATTTCATCATGAGAGATGCTGTGAGCTCTAACTGATGAGCATTTATAAAATATTTCCACGTTGAGATGAAATGACAAAAAGGCAAGATGAATTAATGAACATTGTATATTCTTATTCCTTTATTCCCATTCTACTCCATGCCTGAATGGCAACGTGAAGATATGTAAGCATAGGTAAGCCAGGTTTCATTGATTAGTTCAACAGCATTTATTTCCTGTGCATTCACAGTGTTGAGAGATAAATAAATTAAACAGCCCTGGCTTCCAGGAGCTCGTAGTAGAGAAGCATTCTGGATTTCCATTTTGTTTGACAATAAAACTTAATATTTATTTTCTTAAGCCTGAATACTGTGCAATTTCCTAGAACTTATTTTGTTTTGCTATATAAGAAACTAGCATGGTTATGAAAGTTAAGTTGGCTGTGAGTTAATTTCTCACATAGACCTCATTATAAATTTACCCTTCAGAATTTAGAGTTGTCTGAGTGTGGTATAATTAATCAGGAATGGACTATTATCTGACCTTACTTTATTCACTTTATAAGAGGACAACCTCATGTAAAACCACTGTCATTTAAGTAAGATAAAATGAGTACCTCTATACTGCCAGTTGCATTGTGAAAGGATTGGGTTTTCATCTTGTTTGCTGTTTTTGTTTTGTTTTTAATTTTGGCCACATATTAGAAAGCCATTGTCCTTCTTTCCATCATCATCAGGTAAATGGTGAGAATATTAGAGATACAGTTTGACATAATGAAAAGAATGTAGATTGTTGAGTTAGACCTGGATTAAAGTCCTAATTCCATTCGATATTTGGTAAAAGATCTTGGCAAGTAGTTTTACCTTATTCTATAGCTTCCCTCATCTTTAAAACCAAGATAGTAACTGTTATGAGCTGAATTATGTCCCCTCTACAAATTCAGATATTAAAGTCATAACCCTCAGTATCTCAGAATGTGACTGCATTTGAAGATAGGGTTTTCTGAATGTGGTGTAATTCATCGGGAGTGGGCTATTTCTGACCTTGCTTTATTTTTCAGTTTCAGAGGTTATTTTGGTGGGCCCTCATCCAATAAGACTGATGCTCTTATAAGAAAAGGAAATTAGGGCATAGATTGGTACAAAGGGAAAACCATGGGAAGATACAGGGAGAAGATGATTGTCTACAAGCCAATAGAGAAGCTGTAGAAAAAGCCAGCACTGCTAACACTTTGATCTTGAAATTCTAGCCTCCAGAATTGCAAGACAATGAATTTCTGTTGTTAAAGTTACCCAGCCTGTGGTACATTTTACACAGCCCTAGCAAACTAACACAGCAAAAAATATTTCAAGTGAAAAATATAGAGTTTTGAAATATTATACTGTATACTAAGATATATAATAAATAATATATACACATAGCTGGTATTAGTATTAATATTGATATTAACATTAGTCTAGAGTTAGTATTGCCAAACAGTACCAAAGAGTTTGTGAAAGAAATAATTGTCCCAAAGGAAAAACAATGAGCTTATGAAAATTCCTTTAAGCAAGAGGGAATTTGAGTGTGTCCGTGGAAGCTTTATTTTTAGGTCAATTTTAGCGTCTACAGCATTGCGTATTCTACCACTAATCATCTTTTTCCTTAGCGGAAGTATCCTGAAATTTGATGAGTAAAAATGACTTTCTTTTATATTTTTGTGATATAACAGCTTCTAAAGTAATGTGTTTCTGAAAATGTCATTACCCCTAAGACTTACTTACAAAGGGTCATGATGTGTTTGTCAAAACTCATCAGTGTGTCCAGAAACTATGTGCGTGTGTATTTTAGTCAAACTTTCTGGGAGTTAAAGTATATATAAGGTAACACAGCAATGGAACATCGCAATAG